>NC_000006.12:10211515-10363030 GCF_000001405.40 Homo sapiens | reverse complement strand
AATTCTTGTGCCTCAGCCTCCTGAGTAGCTGAGATTACAGGCATATGCCACCACTCTTGGCTAATTTTTTTTGTATTTTTATTGGCCAGGCTGGTCTCAAACTCCTGGCTTCAACTGATCCTCCCTCCTTAGCCTCCCAAAGTGCTGGGATTACAGACATGAGTCATTGTGCATAGCCAAATCCCAGTTTTTGATTCAGAAAGCGTGATCATGGTGTCTTTTCATAGCTATTCTCCAATATATCAATTTTTATCAAAGGATTGATTGCTGAACAATTTCCAAGTGTGTTTTAACGGCCAATAGCTCTCCTCTTACAGGAGAGGCAAACACTATGGTCCACACTGACCCTTGCTCTCCTAGTCAGCAAATTGTATTATCATCATCTAGAAAGGTGAGTACCATGATAATTACTTTCTAACAAGAAAAGCCTGAGGTCGCCTCTCTTAAAACACTGTGCTACTGTGTTGGTTTCTGTCGATCAGCAGGACATGCATTTTCAGTTGTTCCCAGGAATGTTGTTGTTTTTTTTGCTGATGTGGTTTAACTTATCATCAATGACTCTTATGTCTCAAGGATACAGCCAGAGTCTGGGGTCTGGAGCTTTGGGTGACCCCACCTTAGGGTGAGGCCCCTACTACTCAACTGAAACTTTGACCTAATTTACACTAACCTTTGTATAAAGCAGAGGCTGCTGCTGGCTGCACAAGAGAATGCAGGAATAGGCCAAGAAAGCATTTCTTCTTGGTTCAAACGTCTTGAATCCACCTGGCTGTGAAGGTAGACATGTGGATAAAGTTTTATACAATGGGTTTTAATCTTGCACAAACCAGAATCCTTTTGAGAGTGAAAAGAGATACTAAAAACAATTTTTTAAAAAAATTAATTGACCTACAATAGGAGCAAGCTGAGACTATCCCAGGAAATATAACATTTGAAAGCTCGGAACCTTCTCTAAATAACAACTCACAGATGCATTTGCTCACAGAATTGTGCACAGAAGTCTTGAGGTTTCATAGAGACCTCCTGAAACCAACAGAGGAATCCACCTGGACTGGAGAGAGGAATCAAAGACAAAAAATCCCTGAATTGAAAATTCTGTAGTTTACTTTGTGCCAGAAATCTTGCTATCTGTAAACATTTTAGCCTAGGCAACATAAGCAAGACTCTGTCTCTGCAAAAAAATAAAAACATTGGCCGCGTGTGGTGGTGTGCACCTATAGTCCCAGCTACTGAGGAGGCTAAGGAAGAAGGATTGCTTGAGCCTGGAGGTTGAGGCTGCAGTGAGCCATGATAGTGCCTCTGCGCTCCAGCCTGAGCAACAATGCAAGACTCTGTCTCAAAACAACAACAAAAACTTTTGCTCATCCTTTCCACCACTCGGCATATATTTATTTATTTATTTATTTATTTATTTATTTATTTATTTATTTACTGAGACACAGTCTCACTCTGTCGCCCAGGCTGGAGTGCAGTGATGTGGTCATAGCTCACTGCAGCGTGGAGTTGCTGGGTTCAAGCAATCCTCCTGCCTCACATTCTCAAGCTAATGTTTTTATTTATTTTTATTTTGTAGAGACAGGATTTCCCTATGCTATCTAGACTGGTCTTGAACTCCTGGGCTCAAGCGATCTTCCCACCTCCACCTCCCAAAGTGTTTGGATTACAGGCATGAGCCACCGCACCTGGCCAACATACATTTATTGATCGCCTGCTACTTAAGTATTTTTCCGGATCATGGAAAGACAAAAATCATTTGAGTCCTTTCCCTTGCGGCACAATCCTTGTTTGAAAGGCGGATGATTGCAATGCTTCACTAGGAGTATTAGTAAAGTACTGCCATGGCTTAAGGAAGAACATCCTTCCTTAATTGAATTTCTGGATTCTCTTTTTGAGCCCATCTTATTTCTGGGGCTGGCAAAGGAGATGACACCTGAATTGAGTTTTGAAAGTTTAGAGATATGGGCTGGGCGCGGTGGCTCACACCTGTAATCCCAGCACTTTGGGAGGCTGAGGCGGGTGGATCACCTGAAGTTGGAAGTTCGAGACCCCCCTGGCCAACATGGAGAAACCCCCTCTGTACTAAAAATACAAAATTAGCCAGGCATGGTGGTACATGCCTGTAATCCCACCTACTCAGGAGGCTGAGGCAGGAGAATTACTCGAACCTGGGAGACAGAGGTTGCGGCGAGCCGAGATTGCGCCATTCATTGCACTCCAGCCTGGGCAACAAGAGTGAAACTCCATCTCAAAAAAAAAAAAAAAAAAAAAAGAAAGAAAGAACGTTTAGAGATACATTGCTAGTGACAGAAGACTGATAAAAATATCCAACGGGTGTGAAGCAACCAGTCCTTTTCATTTGTTCCAGATGCAGAAACGAGACTAAATCTCACAAGCTTGAAGACCAGTACCATTGCTAGGCAGCATAGGACAGGGGTTAAGAATGCAGCTTCTTCTTCTTCTTCTTTTTTTTTTTTTTGAGACGGAGTCTTGCTCTGTCGCCAGGCTGGAGTACAGTGGTGCGATCTTGGTTCACTGCAACCTCTGCCTCTCGGGTTCAAGCGATTCTCCTGCCTCACCTGCCCGAGTAGCTGGGACTACAGGTGCGTGCCACCATGCCCAGCTAATTTTTTTATTTTTAGTAAAGATGGGGTTTCACCATGTTGGCCAGGATTGTCTCGATCTCTTGACCTCATGATCCACCCACCTCTGCCTCCCAAAGTGCTGGGATTCCAGGCGTGAGCCACCGTGCCCAGCCAAAAATGCAGCTTCTTAATCCAGTGACCAGGTGTAATGGTTAGTTTTATGTGTCAACTTGATGAGACCATAGTACCTAGCTATGTCATTAAACACTAGTTTAGATGTTGTTGTGAAGGTATTTTATAGGCGTATTTAACATCTGCGTCAGTTGACTTTAAGTAAAGCAGATTATCCTCCGTACTCTGGGTTGGCCTCACCCACTCATTTGAAGGCCTTAAGAGCAGAAACCTGGGAAAGAAGAACTTCTGAGCCTGGGCAACATAGCGAGACCCTGTCTCTACGAAAATTAAAAATGAAAAAATCACCCTGGTATGGTGGCATGCACTTGTAATCCCAGCTACTCCAGAGGCCGAGGCAGGAAGATTGCTTGAGCCCAGGAATTCAAGGCTGCTGTGAGCTGTGATTGCACCATTGTACTCCAGCCTGGGAGACACAGCAAGACCCTAGGAAGGAAGGAAGGAAGGAAAGAAGGAAGGAAGAAAGGAAAGAAGGAAAGAAAGATGGAAGGAAGGAAGGAAGGAAGGAAGGAAATAAAGAAGGAGAGAAGGAAAGGAAGAAAGAAAGAAGCTATAGGACTGTAGCATCAACTTCTGCCTGAATTTCTAGCTTGGTGAACTGCCCTACAAATTTCAGATTGTCAGCCTCTACAATAGCATGAGCCAATTTCTTAAAATACATCTTATCTATATCTATTTTCTATTGGCTCTGTTTCTCTGGAGAACCCTCTGCTACATCAGGGTTGGGGATTGTGTTTGGATCCTGGATCTCAATTCTGATTTCCATACTTCCTAGCTGCATGACTTTAGACAAATTACTTCATTTGCCAAAATATCAATCTCTTCACATGTAAAATTAGATAACAGTAATTCCCTTACAGGGTTGCTGAGAGGATCAAATGAGCTAATGCATTTAAAGTACTTAGTAAATTCCCTAGCCTGGGTTAAGGCTTCAGAAATGTTAGCTCCCATTCTATTTTTGGTTAAACTTTTTTTTGGCCTTATTTTCATTAATCAGAGGTATGGAGATAATACAAAATTGTGCATCCTCAGTCCTAGGGGGCAGAATGTCATGTTTGTTTTTGGAAGTGCCTTTGACCCAGCATTTTCCATCCGCCATATGAACAGCCACAAGATTGTTCTGCAGCTGTCACTTCACCAGCAAAGTGGGTCACCCCCAAGTGGGCTGAGGAAGTGATTCTGGGAAGCACAGTCTGGACACCGGGACTGGTCACTGGGGAGCAGCAGCTGTAGAGAGATTGCTGCAGTGACCCACGGCTCAGGGGACACATTAGGATTCTGTTTGAACCCACACATTGTGTAACCCAGGAAGCAAGAAGTGGTGCCCAAACAGCACTGGACTCAGAATACATTAAGGCTACTCACCATCAGCTGTCCCTTGGCTGAAATGGACTGCTTTGCAGAGGTGCCCATCTAATATGTACTGTGTTGAGCCATTCAACACATGTTGGTGGGTCACCTTGGTGCATTTGTTTGTGCATATGCTTGAAGTGTACAGAAGGGTCTGTATGGCATAAGTTCGCTGAGTGAAAAAGCCCAGTGTCCAGTCTATGATATCAAGTGCTGTGCCATTCCTGGTCATTAGAGAGATCTATGCCCATCGGGAAAATGGAGGGGCAGGCCCCAGATGTACGTTTATACAGAGTAGAGTGATTTGGTTGGAATGGAGGCTTCGTCAGAGAGGAAAATTAGAGAGGCAGTTCAGTTCAGTGATGCCCCTGCATATGTGCTGGCTAATTAGCATGGCCCTGGAAGGGGTGGCTGGTTGTTTTTGACAGTGGTGATATTTGTTTAGGGTTGCTTGAGTATAGATCAGGGAGGCTGTTGTTACCTGGAAAGGGAACTAGTGAAACCACAGTTTTCAGTTTTTGGGGGATGGTTTTATATAACAGGGACTAACTTGGCAAAAATGGGAGGCCAAGTCTCTCTTCCCCAAATACGTTTATTTATTTATTTACTTACTTATTTACTTATTTACTTTGAGATGGAGTCTTGCTTTGTTGCCCAGGCAGGAGTACAGTGGTGCAATCTTGGCTCACTGCAAACTCCGCCTCCCAGGTTCAAGAGATTCTCCTGCCGTAGCCTCCCAAGTAGCTGGGTTTATAGGTGTGTGCCACCGCACCTGGCTAATTTTTGTATTTTTTAGTGGAGACGGGGTTTCACCATGTTGGCCAGGCTGGTCTCGAACTCCTGACCTCAGGTGATTTGTCTGCCTCAGCCCCCCAAAGTATTGGGATTACAGGCATGAGCCACTGCCCTGGCCCTCAAATACTTTTAAAAGCACAAATGCCTAGTAAGTAAGTAAAATTATGATTAGTGGAAAATCCTTTTTTTTTTTTTGATACAAAAAGTTGAAATAAGGTGACCAGGTATTTACTTTTGTTTGGGGGGGTGGGGGACAGAGTCTTGCTCTGTCACCCAGGCTGGAGTGCAGTGGCATGATCTCAACTCACTGCCACCTCTGCCTCCTAGGTTCAAGTGATCATTTTGCCTCAGCCTTCCAAGTAACTGAGACTACAGGCATGCACCACCACACCTGGCTATTTTTTGTATTTTTGTAGAGACGGGGTTTCATCATATTGGCCAGGCTGGTCTCAAACTCCTGACCTCAGGTGATTCTCCCACCTCGGCCTCCCAAAGTGCTGGTATTACAGGCATGAGCCACCGCACCCAGCCTAGGTATTTACTTATATTCCAGCCCCCAACTCCTTCCGGCCTAGAGCCTGGCCTGGTACTGCTCAGAATCTGATTGTGATTGAAGGGATCCACTCCAGTCTGTATGGGCCCAGGGCCACACATCCTCCTGGGTCAGACTGGACAAGCTTAAGAACAGTCTTGGGCCAGCAGGTGATTTTAGGCCTGTGCATCAAACACTTCAGCTCTCCTACTATTTGAATACACAGTAGGATTGCACTTCTCAGATCCCTTGCAGTTGGAGAGGGCCATGTGGCCAGTTCTGGCCAGTGAGAAGGAATGGAGGTGACCTGAGTCGCTTCTGAGCTGGGCAGCATAATTACCTCTGTGATACCCTCTGGGATTCACTTTTCCTCTGGAATAGCCACTGGCAATGTTTAGGATGGTCATTTTTCCGTTGGCCTGTGTTCCTAAGTGGTTACAGTGAGAAGACCCCATCGGATGACCAGAAATGGACCTATGGTATGCTCAAAGAATAAATCCTTTTCTGAACCATCCATGGAGATTTTGGGATTGTCCATTGTGCAGCATAACCCAATCTGTCCTGACTGATTGGGAAACCTGATCATTGAATGATCATAGAATGTCATATAACCAAACTTTCTTGCATTTCTTAGTTGTATTTGCATCCTGAAAGTTAGTCTCACATTCCCCTAAAAATGTTCAGTGGTCCTTTCATCTGGAGCTTCCTCAGAATATAACAGATACAGACCCTTGATAGACCTCTTCATCTTCTTCTAGAAGTGACTATTTGAGAACTTGTTTGGAATTTGGCCAGGGTCTAGAAGTGAGAAGGCAAAGTAATTTTCCAGTTACCAGTTATCAGAACTTGAAGGGATCCTTGCAACTGATTGTCCAAAACTTTAATTTTACCAAGAAGAAAATCAAAACTCATAGAAACCAGGAGACTAATTTAACTAAGGTCACAGCTTGCTAGTTGGTTATTAGTAGAGACAGGACCAGGACTCAGGGCCATTGGTTACATTTTATTTTCTGTGTAACGAAGGGACTATGTATAAAGGTCAAAAAGGAGTTTGCTGGCCTCATAGTCAGCTCTGCCCAATAGAACCATAATGCAAGCTATCAATGAGCAATTTTTTGGCAGCTACAGAGAAAAGTATAAAGAAAAAAAAAAAGTTAATTTTAATAATCTATTTTATTTAAACCAATATGTCAAAAATATTATTACCAAAGGGATGATTTTAAAAAAGAAAAAAATTTAAAAAGCCAAAAATAGTATTACATTTTAATATGTAATCAATATAAGAATTGTTAATCAGATATGTCACTTTGTTGCACTAAGTCTTTCAACTCTGATGTGTATTTTGTTTTAATTTTTTTTTTGAGACAGAGTCTCAGTCTGTTGCCCTGGCTAGAGTGCAGGGGCGCAATCTCAGCTCGCTGCAACCTCCCGCTCCTGGGTTCAACCGATTCTCTTGCCTCAGCCTCCTGCGTAGCTGGGATTACAGGCACACACCACCACGCCCAGCTAATTTTTGTATTTTTAATAGAGACGAGGTTTTGTCATGTTGGCCAGGCTGGTCTCAAACTCCTGACCTCAGGTGATCTGCCATCTTGGCCTCCCAAAGTGCTGGGATTACAAGTGTGATCCACTGCGCCCAGCCCTGATGTGTATTTTACACTTAAAGCATATCTCATTTGGACTAGCCACATTTCAAATGCTCAACAGCCATATGTGGCCAGTGCCTATCCTATGGGACAGCACAGCTCTAAGTTCTTGGAGGGCAGGGGGATTTCAACTTAGTTACTTTTGTTAAATACCTGACTTTGTGTCACACATGATGACATGTTTCTCATTATCTTCATGTGGATACCAGACACCATGATACTTGGCCCCTTGTCACTTCATAGGGATGTGAAGGCAATTAATGAGATCATGTCTGAATTCAGCAGAAGGTTCTGTCTAAATTCAAGGTGCTATTCTCTTTTATGCATCTGTGGGGAAGTCCCATTAGCACCCATGGGAACTATGCATGTTACTGTAATGGAAAAACAAACATTCCTCATCAGGCAAGGAAAAATACTAGGTTACTAACAGGGGTGCGCTCTTCCGTGTGGGTGGGGACTTTCTGCTGAGAGGTGACGGAGTTATAAAGTCTTGTTGTGCTATCACATGGGTGAAGAGCCAGATCTCGGCAGGCTGCTGGGCAGGGGAGGTGGGAAAAGTAAACCAGTGTGCAGTCGGGGAGTGGGATGATATAGACTATTGTGTTCAGACCTCACCTGTGCCCACTGTCTCCTCTTGTGGCAGGGCAGGGCACTAAAGGAACAACAGGCAGAATGCTGCTTTTCTAGTGTTCAGAATGGCTAGTTCAGGTTTACTTTTCTGGCTTAGTTTGGACAAGCTCCTGTTAATCAAGCTGTGGGATGGAACTTCCGGGGACAGCAAAAGGTGCTATTTTCCCTCCTGCAGGAACTCTCTTCAAATTGCAAAAAGTACAAGTTACCCCCACAGAATGCTGGGAATCATGCTTGTTACCTTCTTGCTTCAATCCTCTAGTGTATTTGGTAAGCACTTTAGAAGCCTTTAAAATAGTACTCTAAGGCCAGGTAACGTGGTGTGCCTCTAGTCCCAGCTACTAGGGAGGCTGAGGCGGGAGGATCACTTAAGCCCAGGAGTTTGAGGCTGCAGTGAGCTATATTATACCTATGAATAGTCAACACACTGAAGCCTGGGCACCACAGGAAGATTCTCTCTCCACAAAAATTAAATTAAATTAAGTTATTTTAAAGAGTGCTCTAAGCCATGGGTGGGCGTGGCTTGCCTTTTCAAGCTAGGCTCTATCTTTATATAAATGAATTGAGCCACGCCTCAACACCCCACTATCCCCAATCAGCTTTTCAGAGTTATCACATACACATACACACGCGCACGCGCGCACACACACACACACACACACACACACACATTCTTTTTAGCCTTGGAGCACAGGTAAGGCTGGGGAAGAAAGATTTTGGGAAGTCTGATTGTGTATGATTTTTGCTCCTAATAGCTACTTTTAATTTAACACCTATTCTCTGCCAGACACTTTGCATGTACTATTTCTCCTCCACATAACTGCCCTTAAAGGATATTATTATCTCTATTTTACAGATGAAAAAAACTGAGCTCCAGAGAACTTAAGTAACTTGTACAAGGACATAAGAAAATAATAATCTGAAACTTGGAAATAAGCAAAAGAAGAATGACTGCCGGCATCTCTTTTTAGTATCATCAGAAGCTCTACCTAACAGGCCATCCTACTTCCAAGGATTATTTAAATCTCTAGGGAGAGTACCTTTGATTAATTATTTCTTATGATTAGGGCCTATATTCTGTGAAAATACAGAGTCCAAGTTTTAACTTTGTAGATTATTAAATTATAAATTGTATTTCTCCCATAGAGATGCAAATTATTTCTTTCTATTATAAAAGATAATCCCAAAGGTCATAATTTTATCGACCAGTAAGACATTACCCAGTTTTATATCTAACAAGCTCATTTCAACTTTTTTTTTCTGATAGGATAAATAAATACCCATTTTCCCCTCCCTCCCTCCCTCCCTCCCTCCCTTCCTTCCTTTTTTTTTTTTTTTTTTTTTTTCCGGAGTCTCGCTCTATCTCCCAGGCTGGAATGCAATGGCATGATCACAGCTCACTGTAGCCTCAATCTCCAGGCTCAAGTGATCCTCCTGCCTCAGCCTCTGTAAGTAACTGGGACCACAGGCACATGCTACAATGCTCATGCCACCACGCACAACTAATGGAAAAAAATTTATAGAGAGAGGCCTTCCTATGTTGCCTAGGCTGGTCTCAAACTCCTGGGCTCAAAAGTGATTCTCCCACCTTGGCCTCCCAAAGTGCTGGGATTACAGGTGTGAGCCACTATGCCCAGCCAGTAAATGCCCATTTTCTTTTCTTTTCTTTCTTTTTTTGGAGACGGAGTCCAGCTGTATCGCCCAGGCTGGAGTGCAATGGCGTGATCTTGGCTCACTGCAACCTCTGCCTCCCAGGTTCAAGTGATTCTCCTGCTTCAGCCTCCGGAGTAGCTGGGATTACAGGCTCCCGCCACCAGGCCTGGCTAATTTTTGTATTTTTAGTAGAGATGGGGTTTCACTGTGTTGGCCAGGCTGATCTCAAACTCCTGACCTCGTGACCCGCCTGTGTTGGCCTCCCAAAGTGCTGGGATTACAAGTGTGAGCCACCGTGCCCGGCTGACCCATTTTCAAATGCTATTAGAATCACCTTTGCCATCTTATTTGTTCCCTCATTAATTAGTTAAACAAATATTTTACATGAGCTCATTATATGTTCATATGAGGGTGAACGTAAAGAATTATGAAGGGTTGAAGGTTTTACCCTACCTGTAAGTTAACAAGTTAGCCTGTCATGGTTTAATGGATGCTGGCAGAAGACATGAAACTCCTGGGTCAGAGACAAAGGACTTTATGATGAATGGTACAGCAAGCAACATGAACACCAGTGTATTTGTGCCAGTTCCCCTTTCCTCTGCAAGTCCCATAAGGGTGATGTGGATAGACCTAAGTAGATGCCTATACATTCAGTGTGTCACATTATACTAAACTTAAGGAACTTGAATCTTTTATAATGTTTAGTAAGCCTGATTCCCCTTTTCTCCAGAGTGAGACACTATCTCTACCTTCCAAAGCTATTTGTTATGTAAACATCCTTGTAAGGGCAGCTTGGAACAAAGTACCTTGCTTGTAAGATATATAGAAACTTAAGAGACCCATGGAGAATTATCTCCCAACAGCCAATTTTAAAAAATTATACCCTGGCCAGGGTGTAACAGCCTGTAAATGACCACGCCTGGATACTTCCTGGCTGCAATGTCTGGGCTGTTTCCACCGTACTGAGAAAACCCAAGTCCCACTGCATGTGACCAACAAAAGAATCCCCCACTACTATTAGCTCTTTGTATCTTTTCCAACCTAGGGTGGAAGTGGCCTTGGTTTGAAAAAGATGCATCAAAGCACAAAAAACGTGGTAATTAATCAGTTTTATTTCCAAAGCCCTACATGTCTTGAGATGCTTAAAATACTTATTGTGATAAAATTTTAATAGAACCCTAAAACTACAAAAACTTTAAGGCAATTAAAACACTAGTCTGTGAGCAATTTAAGAGCAGGGACCATGTTTTATTTGTTTTTTGAATCGTTGGAACCTAACACAGTGTCTGGTACCTAGTAGGTGTTCACCAAAATTTTTGTCGAATTAGTGAATAAATAAATTAAGAGGGAGGAACACTCCTGTTTACCTCTTTCTTATCCAGTTTCTCTTTGGTCCTTTCCTCTTCTAGAAAACAAAGCAGATATCTGTTGAACTCATTTATGCCCTTTGCTTCAGCTGCTTGTTCCAATAACTTATTCCATATGTTTATTTCCTTTAGTGTGAAAAGATTTGGCTCAAGTTTTCTTTTTTATTTATAGTTTCCTGAGTTTTCAGTCCTGTCCCTGCTCGCCTGTTCCCTTTCCCATACACACACACCCGGGAGTGTGAAGGAGCAAGTGCCGACAGCTACAACCGCGATTCAGAGGTTCTTGAAAGGGTTGCTGTTGTTTCTGGACAGTCATCCTGGGCGGCTGTCCCCAGGCCAGCGAGGCCGACTGCTTAGCCTGCAGCCTGGGCCGCACTCCTGAGACACTCTGCCCCCATCTGACTGGCCACGTGCCCTCTCGCTCCTCAGGTGAGTGCAGCCCATATGGTGATAGAGCGAAATGGGGACAGACCCACTGAGCTCCCACAGGGGCCTAGAAGTACTTGACAAAAGGCCGAGCTTGGAAGGGCACGGTGAGTCAATCTGCTGGCCCAGAGGAAAACCAGAGATTAGAGATCTACGCTTAATTAATAGGCGGTGAGGAAGCCATTTCCAGACTCACCCTGTACTTTCAGAAGCAAATTGTGAATTATTGCCTCGAGAGATAGGCTTTAGAGTGTAAAGTCCATTTTTGTGTCAGTTGAGGAGCCTAAACAAATGTTGAATGGCACCACTTTCTCTTTTTCTTTATTTCCTTTTTTTTTTGAGACAGGATCTCATTCTGTTGTCCAGGCTGGAGTCCAGCGATGCAATCATGGCTCAGTGCAACCTTGAACTCCCGGGCTCAAGCCATCCTCCCACCTCAGCCTCCCAAGTAGTTGGGACTATAGGCATGCACCATCACAACTGGCTAATTTTTAAATTTTTTGTAGAGAGGGGGCTCCCTATGTTGCGTAGGCTGGTCTCGAACTCCTAGCCTCAAGCAATCCTCCCGCCTCGGCCTGGGATTACAGGCGTGAGCCACTGTGCCCAGCCTAATGACACATTTTCTGATTGGACATTAGAATGCCCAAGGGTCGAGCCTAGCAGTGTGCTCCTTCTGGGTGGTTTAAGGGAGGCAGATGCTCTGTGGCTTCAGGGATGTGTAGCACACCTAAGAGCCACAGAGTCACCCTTTCCTAGTACCCTATGAGGCCACATGTAAAGTGCCTCAGTCTGGGGTCATCTTGTTTTCTCTCTTTTTTTTTTTCTTTTTAATCCCCATTTAGCTCCAAGCAAGAGAAGGAACTGGCCCTTCTTTTGCTTGTGCAAGGGTGGATAATGACTTGCATATTCCAGGAGAGTGGTGAGGCTCACCACCTTGATAGCTACATTTTGTCTGGGCTTCTCAAAGAAGGGAGGACGAGGAACAGGTTTTTGGCAGGTTTTGTTCCAGTTAGGGCTGGGCAGCAGTGAAACAGGCTGCCTGTCAAGTCCTGAGTTGTCCAAACTGCAGAAGGAATTCTGCTTGATATAGGAGGCTGGAATAGATTATGTCTAAAGTCTTTTCTAAAAGCACGGCTGAGGGTTTCCCCAAGTTCAGCTTTCTTATAGGAGGGCAGTATGGTGTGTTGATCAAAAGCAGTGGCTGAGGCCAATCAGTCTAGATTTCAACTCTGCTACTTATAGCCTATGCTGTGTAGCCTTAGGCGAAAGTCTGTGCCTTCGTTTTTTCATCTGTAAAATAGGCTCAATGACAGCAGAATCTATTTCATGAGAGCTATGCTGCCTCATCTCATGGAGCTGGTGTAAAAAATAAGTGGATTAGGCTAGGCACTGTGGCTCACGCCTGTAATCCCTGCACTTTGGGAGGCTGAGGTGGTTGGATGACTTGAGCTCAAGAGTTCAAGACCAGCCTGGGCAACATAGTGAAACCCCATCTCTACTAACAGTACAAAAAATTAGGCTGCTGTGGTGGCGTGCACCTATAATCCCAGCTACTCAGGAGGCTGAGGTGAGAGGATGCTTGAGTCTGGGAGGTGGAGGTTGCAGTAAACTGAGATCGTGCCACTGCATTCCAGCCTGGGTGACAGAATGAGACCTTGTCTCCAAAAAAAAAAAAAAAAAAGGAGAAAGAAGAAAAAAAGAAATAAGTGAGTTAATACACAGAGTGTGTAGAACGATACCTGGCCCAGAGTCTGAGATTGATAAAGAATCACTATTATTAACTGTTTAAAACAAACGGGAGCTGGGCACGGTGGCTCACGCCTGTAATCCCAACACTTTGGGAGGCCGAGGAGGGTGGATCACCTGAGGTCAGGAGCTTGCGACCAGCCTGGCCAGCATGGTGGCCTGTTTCTACTAAAAATACAAAAACTGGCCAGGTGTGGTGGCAGGCCCCTGTAATCCCAGCTACTTGGGAGGCTGAGACAGGAGAATCACTTGAACCCGGGAAGCAGAGGTTGCGGGGAGCCGAGATTGTGCCATTACACTCCAGCCTGGGCGACAAGAGTGAAACTCCGTCTCAACAACAACAAATGAACAAACAAAAAGGTTCTGAATTCCCATCTTCCCTGCGATAAGTGGTGGGGTGTTTTCTGTCTTTTTTCCTCGTAACACATCCCCCCAGATTCATGGGAACTGAGCAGGGCAGCTGGGCAGAGGAGGGAGAAGCAGAGACGTGATGTGACAGCAGGAAGGTGGGAAAGAATCAGCTCTATCCTCCTACACAGTGCAAGTCACAGCTGCAACCAACCTTCTTGTTTGCAGTGGCAAAGGAGGAAGAGGCAGTGAGATGGCAAATAGGCAAGGCCACCATCAGTCATTGTCGTCACTGTCACCATCGTCTTGCAGATCAGCCACAATCCTGCCTGCACAGAACAGGTACTCAAGAAATGCTGTTCTCTCCCCAGGGCTGATAACTCCCCGATCTCCACTTTTCAGTCGGCTTCTCTTTTACCTATTCCGGGGCTGCTGTTCCAAAAGCTCTCCAATACCCTCACTCCACTCTTGGCCTCACTCCTAACAGGTTATATCACCTCCCTATGTACAGAGGCCATAGAGACCACTGGGAGAACCACTCAATGTCCCTACTTTTTTTTTTTTTTTTTTTTGAGACGGAGTCTCGCTCTGTCTCCCAGGCTGGAGTGCAGTGGCGCGATCTCGGCTCACTGCAAGCTCCGCCTCCCGGGTTCACGCCATTCTCCTGCCTCAGCCTCCGGAGTAGCTGGGACTACAGGCGCCCGCCACCACGCCCGGCTAATTTTTTGTATTTTTAGTAGAGACGGGGTTTCACCGTGTTAGCCAGGATGGTCTCGATCTCCTGACCTCATGATCCGCCCGCCTCTGCCTCCCAAAGTGCTGGGATTACAGGCGTGAGCCACCGCACCCGGCCAATGTCCCTACTTTCTTTTTCTTTTTCTTTTCTTTCTTTCTTTCTTTTTTCTTTTTTTCTTTTCTTTTTTTTTTTTTTGAGATGGAGCCTCACTCTGTTGCCCAGGCTGGAGTACAGTGGTGATCTTGGCTCACTGCAACCTCTGCCTCCTGGGTTCAAGCGGTTCTCCTGTCTCAGCCTCCCAAGTAGCTGGGATTACAGGCATACGCCACCATGCCCAACTAATTTTTGTATTTTTAGTAAAGATGGAGTTTCACCATGTTGGCCAGGCTGGTCTCGAACTCCTGGCCTCAGGTGATCCACCTGCCTTAGTCTCCCAAAGCGCTGGGATTACAGGTGTGAGCCACCTCGCCCGGCCAGTCCCTACTTTCAAACCTGGTTTTCCCATGCTGTAACTCGTTAATCCATGTGTCTGAGAAAATAGCAGTTCCTCTCCTCTCTGAGGCTAAGCTCTCTGCTACCCGGGCATGGCGCGTGAATCCCTTCTGCTTCATTTGCCACAGCCACTGCCTCCTATGCTAACTGTGAGAGCCCTCTTTTCTGAATATTCTATTGTTTCCTCTCCTTTAGCTCCCTCCTTGGAGCTGACAAACATGTCCATGTCTCCTTAAACCTAAAATCATCTACATGCCCGTACTGTCCCATCTCAAGATACTACTCTGTCTCCTTTCTATGTTGGGAAGTTTCTTGAGCAAGGAATTCCTTTCTCTTTTCGTCCTTGGGTCATTTAATGCACTTATGTGGCTTTGACCAACATTGAGATCTCAGTTGTGACCTCTCCCTGTCATCTGCTCCTGAGGTTCCGTGGGCGTTTCCAGTGTGATGCATCCCAAACCAAGCACATCATGTTCCTCCCTGAACCAGGTGATCTTCCTCCTGCTCCCTCTTCCATTTGGAATACTGCCGTCACCACCTGTGCAGTCTCTCCGACCAGAAACCTCAGTGTCATCCTGATTCATCCCCTCCCTCAGCCTCCTCATCGAATGAGTCACAGAGAGATTTTACTGGAAGATAATTCCCAGCATGTGCTTGCTGAGTCCTCTCAGACTTGTTTCTGAAATCTGACTTCCTACCCTTCACTCCATTGCCCCTCTCTGTTCAGCTCCTCACCTTTCCCTTGAGCTACTGCACCAGTCCAGCCACCCTCTCCCTTCCACCAACCTCTCCCCTTGCGTGGGCCTCAGTGTGTCCTGCTGAAATACGCACATTGACATCCTAACCCCCAAGGTGATGGTGTTAGGAGATGGGGCCCTTGGGAGGTGATTAGGTCAGAAGGGCAGAGCCCTCATGAATGCGATCGGTGCCTTTATAGAAGAGTCCTCAGAAAGCTGCCTTGCCCTTTCCACCATGTGAGGGCACAATGAGAAGGCACTGTCTATGACAACCAAGAAGTGTGTCCTCACCAGACACCAAATCTTTCTTTGTTTTCTTGAGACAGAGTCTTGCTCAGTCACCCAGGCTGAAGTGCAATGGTGCTATCTTGGCTCACTGCAACCTCCGCCTCCCAGGTTCAAGTGATTCTCCCACCTCAGCTTCCCAAGTAACTGGGATTACAGGCACCCACTACCAGGCCCGTGTAATTTTTGTATTTTTTTGTAGAGATGGGGTTTCACCATGTTCTCTAGTTTGGTCTTGAACTCCTGACCTGAAGTAATTCATGCACCTTGGCCTCCCAAAATGCTGGGATTATAGGCGTGAGCCACCGCGCCCAGCCACCAATCTATTGGTGCCTTGATCTTGAACAGCCCAGTCTCCAGAACTAAATTTCTGTTGTTTATAAGCTACCTAGCTTATAGTAGAGTTGACTCTTGAATGACATGGGTTTGAACTGCCTGGGTCCACTGATATGTAGATTTTTTTCAATAAATTTATTGAAAAAGTTTTTAGAGATTTGCAATAATTTGAAAAAACTTGCAAACTGCTGTAGCTTATATGGCAAATATAGGCAAAAAAAATACTGAAAAAATTAAGAAAAAGCTATGTCATGAATGCATAAATTCTATATAGATACTGGTCTATTTATTTGTTAATCAGCTTTATGTTATGGGTAAGGTGACGTGGTTTGGATCTGTGTTCCCACCCAAATCTCATATTCAGTTGGAATCCCCAGTGTTGGAGGTGGGGCCTGGTGGGAGGTGATTTGATCATGGGGACGGTTTCTAATGCTTTAGCACCTTCTCCCCAGTGCTGTTCTCATGATAGGGTTCTCACGAGATCTGATTGTGTGAAAGTATGTGGCACCTTCACCCTCTCTCTCTTCCTCCTGCCTCGACCACGTGACATGTTGTCTCCCTCTTCACCTTCCACCATGATTGTAAGTTTCCCGAGGCCTACCTAGAAGCCAACAGATGCTGCCATGCTTTGCTCTGTCGCCCAGGCTGGAGTACAGTGGTGCGATCTCGGCTCACTGCAACCTCTGCCTCCTGGGTTCGAGCGATTCTCCTGAGTAGATGGGATTACAGGTGTGCACAACCACTCCCAGCTAATTTTTGTATTTTTAGTAGAGACGGGGTTTCATCATGTTGGTCAGGCTGGTCTCGAACTCCTGACCTCATGATCTGCCCGCCTCGGCCTCCCAAAGTGCTGGCATTACAGGTGTGAGCCAACGCACCCGGCCAACCTCTTTTGTTTATAGGTATTTCTTTATAGCAATGCCAGAACGTACTACTACATAAGGCTTCTGGTCAACAGTAGGCTATTAGTAGTTAAGTTTTTGGAGAGTCAAAAGTTATACGTGGATTTTCTACTGCACAGGAGTTGGCACTCCAAACACCCCCATACAGTTCAAGGCTCAACTGTATTTTCTTATAGCAGCCCAAACAGGCTAAGAAAAGTCTATTCTCTAATCTGTTGATGATGTAATTTATTTAAGTGGAAATTCTTAAAATCTTCATGGGTTTTCTGAAGCCCTACAAAGTCAAGTCCCCACTCCTTAAATCCTGAATATGGCACATAAGGTTATTATATTTTCCCCTACAGACTCACACTCCCAGACCTCTGCAGCTTTGCTGGTGGGGTTCAGGCACGGGTACCCCACACTCCAGGCAAGTTGTACTTCCGGTCCTTTCCCATGCAGTCACCCCTCACCATTCCAGGCTTTTCATCCCTGCCCAAGGTCCTCTTAACTCTCTTCCTGACACATTAATTTTATTTCATTTCATGAAAAAAAATGGGTGTTTATTTGAAATTGCATATTATTTTGTATGATCTACTTTTCTGTTACACAAATGCTGTAATTTAAACAAAACAGTAAGGACAGGTGCAGTCACTTGCACCTATAATCCCAGCCATTTGGGAGGCCGAGACAGGAGAGTTGCTTGAGCCCGGGAATTGGAGGCTGCAGAGAGATATGATCGTACTACTGCACTCCAGCCTGGGAGACAGAGTAAGATCCTGTCTCAGAAAAAACCCCACACATACACACAAAAAATAAGACTAGTTAAGAGTGATAATTGGAGCATCTTAGTTGCAATAATTAAATAATGTGTGAGAAAAATGTAACAAAATTTTTTCTATCCTCTTCTACACCATTTTAGTTTAACACTTAAAACTCTTTCATTGGTTATTGATTTCTTCAGCTTTATTGAGGTAGAATTGACAAATATAGTTGTATAAATTTAACATATATAATGTGATGATTTGATATAGTGTGCATTGTGAAATGATCGTACAATCAAGTGAGTTTTTAATTTCTATCACCTCACCTAGTTAAAATTTTTTTGTGTGTGGTAAGAACACTTGAAATTTACTCTCTCAGCAAATCTTTCTTTCTTTCTCTCTTCCCTCCCTCCCTCCCTTCCTCCCTCCCTTCCTTCCTTCCTTTCTTTTCTTTCTTTCTTTTCTTTTTTTTTTTTCTTCAAGGGCTCACTCTGTTGCCCAGGCTGGAGTGCAGTGGCACGATCATAGCTCACTGCAGCTTCCAGCTCTTGGGTTCAAGAGGTCCTCCCACCTTGGCCTCCCAAAGTGCTGGTATTATAGGTGTGAGCCATGATGCCCAGCCAGCAAATTTCAAGTATACAGTACAGAATTATTAACTCTAGTCAGCAGCTGTGCATTAGGTCTCCAGAATTTATTCATCTTTCTTTTCATAGATGGGATCTCACTTGGTTGCCCAGGCTCGACTCCAACTCCTGACCTCAAGGGATCCTTCTGCCTCAGCCTCCTGAGTAGCTGGGACTACAGGCACGTACCGCTGTGCCCGGCTTGAATTTATTTATCTTATCACTGAAACTTTGTCCCCTTTGACCAGCATCTCCCATTTCCTCCACCCTCAGCCCCTGGTAATCATCATTCTTTTCTCTGCTTCTATGAGTTTGACTTTTTTAGATTCCACATGTAAGTGAGATCATGCAGGCATCTGTCTGTGTGTCCCTGGCTTATTTCACTGGGCATAATGTCCTCTCGGTTTGTCCAGGTTGTTCTGTCTCCTGACAGATTCTTATTCATTCTTCAGAACTCAGCCAAGTCTTGCCTTCGGTGCGGCTTTCCCTGGCTCCCCTGGACTGCTCGCTCTCCTCTCTGTGCTCACCAGCTCTTGCTTCAATCCTTGACTCCAGCACTTTCCAGACACTTAATCCAAGCTTGCTAGATGTGTGAGCAGGTACAGGGTGGAACCAGGTTGATGCAACAAATTGATGGGCATTACTGATGAACCTGGGGTGAAAGTTCTGTGTGTACATTTGCGGAAAGATGTTGGTGTTTGGGAGAGGATTTCTCCTGCTCAGGCTAATTTCCGAATGGCAATTTCCCACTTGATTAGCATGAGCTCTAGCTAGATAGGGATAGGCCACATGGGTCAATGCCATCTCTTTTGAAAATCGTGACAGACTATACTAGGTCTAAGTGAAATTGTTATCAATATTGAGGACTTTAGTGATTATTGCAGTGATATCCTCAAATTTCTGCTTTTTTTTTTTTTTCCGCAGAGTGTCACTCTGTCACCCAGGCTGGAGTGCAGTGGCACAATCTCGGCTCACTGCAACCTCTGCCTCCCAGGTTCAAGCGATTCTTCTGCCTCAGCCTCCCAAGTAGCTGGGACCACAGACACTGTGGGAGGCTTGAGGCCCATGACATCAATTTAGGCATCCGGAGAAGGTAGGAGGCAGGGGAACAGGTAGGGGGAAGGTGTGGGGCCCTGCGTGTCTTGAATGTCCCCTCCAAAGCTCATGTTGAAACTTAACTCCCAATGTGGCAGTATTGAGACGTGGGGCCTTTTGGAGGTGATTAGGTCTTGAGGGCTTTGCCTCCATGAACGGATTAATCCATTCATGGATTCATGGATTAACCAGTCCGTGGATTGATGGGTTATTATGGGACTGGAACTGGTGGCTTTGTAAAAAGAGGAAGAGAGTCCTGAGCTGGCCTACTCAGCTCCTCTGATGTGACACCCTGCACCACCTCAGGACTCTGCAGAGTCCTCACCAGCAGGAGGCTCTCATTAAACGTGGCCCCTCAGCCTTGGAATTCCCAGCCTCCAGAACTGTACAAAATAAATACCTTTTCTTTTTAAATCATTCAGTTTCAAGTATTCTGTTATAAACAACAGAAAATAAACTATTACAGAATCATGGTGTGGAGAAAAAAAATAACAAAAAGAAAATGGACTAAGACAGACTCCACTGGAGAAGTAGTAGTTTTTAATTGCTATTAACATAGGTCAGGTGTGGTGGCTCATGCCTGTAATCCCAGGAATTTAGGAGGCTGAAGTGGAAGGATTGCTTGAGGTCAGGAGTTCAAGACCAACCTGGGCAACACAGAAAAGCCCTGCCTCTACAAAGAATTTTTAAAAATTAGCCAGGCATGGTGGCATGTGCCTGTAGTCCCAGCTATGTGGAAGGCTGAGGCGTTTAGCCACTTGAGCCCAAGAGTTCAAGGCTGCAGTGAGCTATGATTGTGCCACTGAACTCTAGCCTGGGCAACAGAGCAAGACCTTGTCTCTAAAAATACATTTTTTTAAAAATTATGAAAATAGTGTGGGCATGGTGGCTCACACCTGTAATCCCAGCACTTTGAGAGGCTGAGGTGGGAGGATCACTTGAGCCCAGGAATTCAAGACCAGCCCAGCCAACGTGGTGAGAGCCCGTCTCTACAAAAAGTTTAAAAAATAATGAAAATAAAATAATTAAATAATAATAATAATAATAACTATAAAAAAATTGAAAACAACAACAATTCCTCACAGTGGGTATCCTTTAAGCTGGAACAAAAGGAGAAGATGCTATGGTCTGAATGTGTCCCCCCAGAATTCATGTGTGGAAGCATGATCTGCAATATGGTGGTATTAAAGAGGATGGGGCTTCGGGAGGTGATTAGGTCATGAAGACGCAACCATCATGAATGGGATTAGTGCTTTTGTAAAAGACATCTGAGGGAGACTGTTTGCCGCTTCCACCATGTGAAGGTGCAGGAAGGAGGCACCAGCTATGAGGAAGAGGCCCTCCCCAGACGCCAGAAACTGCTGCACCTTGATCCTGGACTTCCCAGCCTCTCCAACTTGGAGCAATACATTTCCACTCTTTATAAATGACCCACTCTAAATTATTTTGTTTTAGCAGCCCAAAGAGACTGACAGAGAGAAAAGTTTGATGAACAGTTTAAAGTGGGGAATAAGTATATTTTTGCAGAGAACTGTAAGGAGGGCAGCCTGTCTAAGGGGCAGGTAGGAGATGGCAAGGAGGATCTTCCTAGGGAAGGGTCAGGGAAAGGTGAGTGTCAGGCTGGGACAAGTGGAAACTATGGAGTGTTCTTAGTTTGGGGCTGACAGTAAAAGCTGTGGATCAGGAAGTGAAGTGCATCGGTGCCCAGCAACCTCTTCTCACCCTAAGTTTTACCTGCTTTAATGTCTCCATGAATATGGTCCTAGGGGCAATATTGTTACTACCTGCTGTGCACAGTGTCTCATATAAACAAGGAACTTCCTTCGTCTATGTTTGAAGTTTATTTTGCAGGTAATAGTGGGTTGGATATCCTGACCTCCAGGAGTTCACATTCTTCAATGCTTCAGGGTGGTCACGGCAATTCTATTAGGGTATCTGTTCTCCACGACAGATATTTTTAGCAACAGATAGCCTGAATCCATTCAAAGAATGCACCTGTTGATGGGAATCCAGATCTGGCAACCACACACTTTAATTTCAAGAGTGCTCAATCAGAGTGTGTGCTAGACTGTGGGACAGGACAGAAAGTCTACTGACTTCAGGCTCAGGCTCACAACAGCTGTTTTCCAAAATTGGTAACATGAAAGTGCTTCTATTAATGTGGAGATTTTGGTTTGATGGATTCGTGGAAATGATCTGATACAAAAAAGCACAATTCCCTTCCCTCTCCCGTTTCTGTCTTGTCTTCCTCCTTCCTGCCCTTCCTCCCTTTCCTTAGCAATATATTTTTTTTTTTTTTGAGACAGAGTTTCACTCTGTCACCCATGCTGGAGTGCAGTGGCGTGATCTCAGCTCACTACAACCTCCGCTTCCCAGGTTCAAGCAATTCTCCTGTCTCAGCCTCCTGTGTTGCTGGCACTACAGGCACCTGCCACCATACCTAGCTAATTTTTATATTTTTAGTAGAGACAGGGTTTCACCTTGTTGATCAGGCTGGTCTCGAACTCCTGACCTCAGGTGATCCACCTGCCTTGGCCTCCCAAAGTGCTGGAATTACAGGCGTGAGCCATTGCGCCCAGCCTTCCTTAGCAATATTTTCTTTCTTTTTAATTTCTCTTTTTTTTTTTTTTTTTTTGAGACCAAGTCTCGCTCTGTCACCCAGGTCTGCTCACTGCAACCTCTGCCTCCCAGATTCAAGCAATTCTCCTGCCTCAGCCTCCCGAGTAGCTAGGACTACAAGCACACGCCACCACGCCCAGCTAATTTTTGTATTTTTTTTTTTATTAGAGACGGGGTTTCACCATATTGGTCAGGCTGATCTTGAACTCTTGACCTCATGATCCGCCTGCCTCGGCCTCCCAAACTGCTGGGATTACAGGTGTGAGCCACCATGCCCGGCTGCAGTATTTTCTAAATGTCTCATCTTGGATTTGTTTTTACAGTGACAAAGAAGCCAAGCAAAGTTTTCTTCCTCTATTAAATGCATATTCTAGAAGGGAAGACAAACAAATCATAAACAAACTAGTAAATAATACAGTTTCATAAAGTGATGAATGCTGGGAAGAAAGGGAGGCAGGATATGGCAGTGACCAGGGCCTGGAGGTATTTTTATTTCCCGTTTGGTGGACAGGGGAAGCACTCTGTGGAGGTCACATCTGAGCAGAGACCTGAACTGGTGGCCGTGATGGGAGTTTGCGGTGGAAAGCATTGCAGGAAGAGGTGGAAAAGAACAAGCATTGCTCTTTGAACAGCATGAAGATTGGGGTGGGTGGAGAGGAGGGGTCAAGGAGCAGAAGTGTAGGATGAGGAGAAGCAGCCAGTAGCTAGATCACCAGGGACTTGTAGGCTACAATAAGGATTTCATATTTTATTCTAAGTGCAATGGGAAGCTATTGGTAGGAATTAAGCAGGAGAGCAAGGCAAGCTGACTTACAGTTTAAGAATACCCTGGCTGCTCTTGGAGAATATTCTGTAGTGGAGAAAGAAGGCTGTAGGAAGACCAGTGGCTTGGCTGTTGTAGAGTACAAGTGTAAGCTGATGGTGGTCTGCAGTATGGAGATGGCAGTGGAAGCGGGGAAAGGTGGTAGGGAGGGCTCAGTATGTGTTTTAAGAGATCGAGAAAGGACTCAATAATCGTGGACTGGATGCCCAGTAGGACAGAAAGAGAGGGGTCAAGGATGACTCCTAGGTTTGTATTTTGAGCAACTGGATGATTTATGGGGCAATTTTCTGAGATGAAGATGATCGGGAGAGGAGACGGTTTAGATTGGAAAATTAAGAGCTCTGTTTTTATAGTTTTAAGTGACTATATAGAATATTAAAAAGATACAGCTGTCTGGAATTTAAGATAAAGATCGGAGCTGGAAATAAACTTTGGGAGTTACCAGCGTGTAGATGGTATTTAAAGCCATTGATCGAGAAGACATCACATGGGGAGGGAGGTGCTTGCCCTGAGGAAGAGACTGAGCTCAGAGACACTCCAATATTTAATGGATGATGTTAAGAATGAGATGCTAACAGGGAAAATTGAGAAGGAATGGCCCGTGAAATAGGAGGAAACTCAGAAGGGCATGTTGTCCTGCCCACCATAATGTTTCAAAGAGGAACAAGTGTCAAATCCTGCTGGGAATAAACTGAGGACAGATAATTGAATACTAGATTCTACATCATGACCCTAACATGAGCAGCTGCAGTTGAACAGTGGGGATGAAATTCTGAATGAAATGAATTAAAAAAGTAAAGAAGTGGAGACAGCAAGTAGCAATAGTTCTTTCAAGTTTTGCTGAGAAGGGGAGAAAAAATGGGGATGTAGGGTCAAGGGTGGATTTTTCAAATAGGGGAATTATGAAAACATTTTTGTATATAGATAGAAGTAATAGAAGTAACTCAGAAGAAAGGGGAGAATAGGTGAATCGGAAGAAGGAGATAATAGGAGTTGCTGAGCCTGTAAACAGGCTAGGGGGTGTGAGCTTTAGAGCAAAAGTGAACAGATTTAGGAGGGAATGGGAAAAAGAGTTAGGGTTGCAGAAAGTAACTCTTGGAATCTACCAATGAGAATTTTTACACCCACAGAGAACTAGGAATCAAGAGTACCTGGCCTGTAGTTAGCTAGGGCTGGAAGAAACGTCGGTAGAATTGGCTTGTGTGAAAGGAGGATGAATCCTTTATTGTTTCTCTTTTTTTCTTCTAAGAAATCAGTGTCATCAAAGAGAGGGAGGAAGGAGTCTTAAGAGTTTTGGGGAAAGAAAGGCATGAAATCGTCATTCTGGAAGTTGAGACACTGAATTGACAGAACCGCTAGCGTTTGGCAGCTTTGGAAAAAGCCACTTGAGATTTTTGTTTGTAGATTTAAAATAAAATCTACATTTAAAACAAAACCTGTAAGTACAATTGTATGGTTTCCTCTGGTGGTGTTCCGCTGGAGGCAGAGGCTGAACAGATGACAGCTGTGGTTTACCCAGATTTGGGAGCTGAGTTCTACATAAGATGGAGAGAAAAAAAGGAGTTGAGAGTGTGAGTGAGGGGGAGAATACCCAGATGCATCACGGACTCTGAGCGACCCCTGCAAGAGTAACATCTTTTGGGGCTGATGGGCAGTGAAAAAAACCCTAGTGGACCGAGTAGACTTGGGAGTCGATGTGAGTTTAAGAATTGCGGACTTTGGCTGGGTGCAGTGATTCACGCCTGAAATCCCAGTCGGTCTGGAATTGGTGGCTTCTTGGTCTCACTGACTTCAAGAATGAAGCCGCTGACCCTCGCGGTGAGTGTTACAGCTCTTAAGGTGGCACGTCTGGAGTCTATCCCTTCTGATGTTAAGATGTGTTTGGAGTTTTTTCCTTTGGGTGGGTTCGTGGTCTCGCTGGCTCCGGAGTGAAGCTGTAGACTTTCACGGTGAGTGTTACAGCTCTTAAGGGAGCGCGTCTGGAGTCGTTCTTTTCTGCTGGTGGGTTCGTGGTTTCGCTGGGCTCAGGAGTGAAGCTGCATATCTTTGCGGTGAGTGTTACAGCTCATAAATACAGCATGGAACCAAAGAGTAAGCAGTAGCAAGATTTATTGCAAAGAGCGAAAAAACAAACCTTCCACAGTGTGGAAAGGTACCCGAGCGGGTTGCCCATGCTGGCTCGGGCAGCGTGCTTTTATTCTCTTATCTGGCCCCACCCACATCCTGCTGATTGGTAGAGCCGAGTGGTCTGTTTTGTCAGGGCGCTGATTGGTGCGTTTACAATCCCTGAGCTAGATACAAAGGTTCTCCACGTCCCCATCAGATTAGTTAGATACAGAGTTTGGACACACAGGTTCTCCAAGGCCCCACTAGAGCAGCTAGATACAGAGTGTCGATTGGTGCACTCACAAACCTCGAGCTAGACACAGGGTGCTGATTGGTGTGTTTACAATCCCTGAGCTAGATATAAAGACTCTCCACGTCCCCACCAGAGTCAGGAGCCCAGCTGGCTTCCCCTAGTGGATCCCGCACCGGGGCTGCAGGTGGAGCTGCCTGCCAGTCATGCGCCGTGCGCTCGCATTCCTCAGCCCTTGGGTGGTAGATGGGACTGGGAGCCGTGGAGCAGGGGGTGGTGCTCGTAGGGGAGGCTCGGGCGCAACTGGAGCCCATGGAGGGGGTGGGAGGCTCAGGCATGGCGGGCTGCAGGTCCCGAGCCCTGCCCCGCGGGAAGGCAGCTAAGGCTCGGTGAGAAATCGAGTGCAGCACCGGTGGGCCGGCACTGCTGGGGGACCCAGTGCACCCTCCACAGCCGCTGGCCCGGGTGCTAAGTCCCTCATTGCCCGGGGCCAGCAGGGCTGGCCGGCTGCTCCGAGTGCGGGGCCCGCCAAGCACACGTCCACCCGGAACTCCAGCTGGCCCGCAAGCACCGCACGCAGCTCCAGTTCCCGCTCGCGCCTCTCCCTCCACACCTCCCTGCAAGCTGAGGGAGTGGGTTCCAGCCTTGGCCAGCCCAGAAAGTGGCTCCCACAGTGCAGTGCGGGGGCTGAAGGGCTCCTCCAATGCCGCCAAAGTGGGAGCCCAGGCAGGGGAGGTGCCGAGAGCAAGCGAGGGCTCTGAGGACTGCCAGCACGCTATCACCTCTCACCAGCACTTTGGGAAACCAGGGTGGGAGGATTGCTGGAGCTCAGGAGTTTGAGATTAGCCTGGGCAATGTAGTGAGACCCCATCTCTACACACATACACACACACACACACACACACACACACACACAAAGAATTTCGAACTTCCCCTCATGTCTTGTCCGTCTTTTCCATTGTTCATGCCTTCATGTGAGAAGACCTCTGATTTTCTGATACTCAGCTCATTTCCTTCATAAAGTCACCTCCATAACTCTGAACTTCATTGATGTTTTCTTTCCTTGCACTTCAGTTACATTTTATTATATATACTTTATTCAATTGTATTTATGATTAGCTAGGAAGGGCAAGTTATTGTTTTAAGTACTGGGAACAAAAGCGTGAGCAAATACAGATGTATACCTGGGTCCTCATGGACATACAGTCTGTTATAGATAGACACATGGTACATCATACAGGTAACTTGCATTACACAAGGCCTAATTCTGAAACATCTCAGGTCTGTGGAATATTTCTTTACAGTTAGATTGTAAGCCCCTAAGAAGGAGGAGGGGTTGTGCCACACCAATTGCAGGGGCTCAGTAAGCAGCTGTTGACTCCTTGAAGATGCTCCCTTGAAAGACTGAAGGAAAAATTATGAAGAAAAGAAGGCTCTAGGAAATGTTCTCTTGGAAGACATGAGTCTGAGTGTGTTGCATCCACTGGGTTTGGGAAAACGTGGAATAATTATGGAATAATGTCCAGGGAGCCTGACTGCTTCCTTGGGATCATATTCCCTTGTGTTTGTTCCATGGTTTAGTTGGGACCATGTGTCCCTAGTAAGCCATTATCTGCTTCCTGCATGTCCTTCTCCACATTTAAATTGATTACCATGGAAGGCTGAGGTGTATGGCTGACAGTCAGATCCTAGGAGGAAATACATTCATCTCAAAATGTGGTCACTCCAGATGGCTGGAAGACCCAGCACCTAAATGTATATCTACCGGGAAGTGAACATGTGCTCAAACCAAACACAGCTTTCTCCTCACCAGAATGCAAGGACTATTCATCTTAAATCATGTGTTTTAGGTGATCCTAAAGCCTTGATTCTGCTTGGGGTATAACTGCTCTATTGAAAAAATGATAGATTAGGATGTTCTTTTTCTGTCACTCTATCCCTCACATAGAGTTGCCCTTATGGACATGTTTCAGAGGTGTGCGGTCTCTTGTAAGAAGCCATCCCAGTGTCTCAGTGAGACCTGCTTGGTCTTTCAGCTGGTAGGTGAAGCTGAAATTCGAGGGAGATTGGGTGAAGTTAGAGGCCATGAGTGGGCTCACACCCAGCACTGACTACAGCAGACAGGTAAGTGTCATTGACTTTCTATCTATTTGGAGACCACCAGTATCACAACACAAGGGTGCATAGGGCTTCAAGGCGCTAGCTGATGATTCTGTAACTCTTGGGACCTACCAATGAGAATTTTTACAACCACAGAGAGCTAGGAATCAAGAGTACCCAGCATGTAGTTAGCTGGGCTGACATGACAACATACCATGGACAGAGTGGCTTAAACAGCAGAAACTTATTTCCTCACAGCTCTGGAGTCTACAAGTCTGAGATCCAGGTGAAGGCAGGATTGGTTTCTCCTGAGACCTGTCCTCTTGGCTTGTAGATGGCCATCTGCTTCCTGTGTTCTCACGTGGTCTTCCCTCTGTGTGTGTCTGTGGCCTCATCCCCGCTTCTTATGAGGACACCAACCATATTGGGTTAGAGCCCACCGTATGATCTGTTTACCTTAATTACCTCTATAAAGGCCCGATCTCCAAATATAGTCACATTCTGAGGTACTGGGGGTTAGGGCTTCAACAAATCATTTTGGAATTAGTTGAGGGAGAGATGGGGGTACAGATTTTAGCCTATGACACCTGGAGAAATTTGGAACCAGTGCCCCTCTTCAAGGAACCCACTGTTTTAGGTTCGGAAATAAAACCACATTGATTCCATGAAGAGTAACAATGAATTTTTAAGCTCTAATTTTAGGCATGTTATCTAACTTCTTTAGGCCTGAGGAGTCTAATGTGAAATATGGTGTTAATAATACCTGCTTTTGTTTCTTTTTTTGATGATCTGTCTGATGACATGCTGGCTATGAAAGTAATTTGAAAATATAAACTGGTATCCATATATGGAAATATTAATTTAGTAATAACACTAATAAAATTATAAAATACTGATCTCTGGAGTAAATTTTGTGAGCTAAAGCCCTTCTGCTAAGGTTCCCTTACTACTTGGAGAGGTGTCTGGGCTGCTGCCTTTTTTCTACAAGAAGAATTAGTCTTCACTATTGAATGATGCAGCCCCACCTGTCATTTATCTGTCTGATACAATTTTTTTTCTTTTTTGAAATGGAGTTTCACTCTTGTTGCCCAGGCTGGAGTACAACGGCATGATGATCTTGGCTCCCTGCAACCTCCGCCTCCCAGGTTCAAGCAATTCTCCTGCCTTAGCCTCCTGAATAGCTGGGATTACAGGTATGCACCACCACGCCTGGCTAATTTTTGTATTTTTAGTAGAGATGGGGTTTCACCATGTTGGCCAGGCTGGTCTCGAACTCCTGACTTCAGGTGATCTGTCCACCTCAGCCTCCCAAAGTGCTGGGATTACAGGCATGAGCCACTGCGCCCGGCCAGTCTGATAAAATTTCTTGAATGAAAATATGTCCCAATATAAAAAGGGAAGGTACAGGTAATGAAGTTCCCTATCCTTGACTTTGTTTTGCTTTTGATATTGGCCATTATGTCTTGTCTGCTTTGATTTGCCTTCTAGAAATTATTCTGGGATAGCTGTTTTTTTAATTTTAAATTTTTTATTTTCAGTTTTCACTTTTTTTTTATTTTTAATGTTTTTTTTTTATTATACTCTAAGTTTTAGGGTACATGTGCAGTTTTCACTTTTTATTTTGTAGAGATAGGGTCTGTCTATGTTGCCCAGGCTGGTCTCAAACTCCTGTGCTCAAGTGATCCTCCCACCTCAGCCTCCCAAAGTGCTGGGATTACAGGCGTGAGCCACTGCACCTGGCCACTAGGATATATTTTGAATTTAAAGTTGGTAAGTAATAGTCATTTTATTATTGAAATTTTTTGCTTGTAGAATACATACCTCTAACAACAGTCTATGCAAACAAATAATAATCCCATTTATTGTGCGTCTATTACAGACCTTGGAGCATATGAAAAAAAAAGAAATTTTAGGCACCTTTTGAGTGATTTGAGAGAATGGAAATGATGCACGAACTGATTTCAACTCATTAGTAGTCAGAATTTAGAAAATAGAATGGAGTACTTTTCTAGTAGAATCTTTTGGCCAAGTCATCCTCTAACCTGGAGATCTGGGAATCTATTTCTTTTTTCTTTTCTTTTTTTTTTTGAGACAGAGTCTCAATCTGTTGCCCAGGCTGGAGTGCATTGGTGTGATCTCAGCTCACTGCAACCTTAGCCTCCCAGGTTCAGGCAATTCTCATGTCTCAGCCTCCCGAGTAGCTAGGACTACAGGGGTATGCCAATACGACCAGCTAATTTTTGTATTTTTTAGTAGAGACGGGGTTTTTGGCCATGTTGGCCAGGCTGGTCTCAAACTCCTGGCCTCAAGCAATCCTCTTGCCTCAGCCTCCCAAAGTATTAGGATTACAGGTGTGAGCCACCGCGCCTGGCCGGAATCCATGTTTCTAATACTGGTTGACATTTCAAAGAAGCGAATTGGGAGCACAGTCCAAGAGGCCTTGACACACCGATGCTAAAAACGTAGCCAGTGTGTGGTGTGGCTGGCACTGATCCTGAGAGTTTGGGTAAATGCTGGGGCCATTCTGGGATGCTGTAGGGTGAGCGGTGTGTACCTAGGATAGTGAGAAATTGGTGAGGGGTGATCAGTGGGTTGTGATCACTGACGTGAGGTGCACATTTTTTAGAATCAGAAAGTGGAAGTGTTAGGAAATCACAAATATTTCCTATATACACAATTAGTTTCCTGGCTCCACTCTGAAAGCAAGACCTTAAGTTAAAGCAACAGATCCATTTGGAGTGGCAGAGCAAGTGTGTATTGTATGAGGCGCTAGGCAGCCTTTGCCAGGTGGAAAGAAATCAGCCAAGATTGAAGTACATTTGAATCAAAACCAGGGTGACCATAAAACCCAGGGAGAGATAGAATATGCTTGGTGGCCTTAATCTTTTTCTTTGCTAGACTCTATTTTCTTTTCTCAGTATTGCCAGATACTGGCATAGAGAGCTGGGGTTAGAAAAAGCAAACACATGGGCTGGGCGTGGTGGCTCACGCCTATAATCCCAGCACTTTGGGAGGCTGAGGAGGGCGGATCACTTGAGGTCAGGAGTTCAAGACCAGCCTGACCAACATGGAGAAACCCCATCTCTACTAAAAATACAAAATTAGGCTGGGTGCAGTGGCTCATGCCTATAATCCCAGCACTTTGGGAGGCCGAGGCAGGTGGATCACCTGAGGTCAGGAGTTCGAGACCAGCCTGGCCAACATGGAGAAACCCTGTCTCTACTAAAAACTACAAAATTAGCTAGGCATGGTGACGCATGCCTGTAATCCCAGCTACTCGGGAGGCTGAGGCAGGAGAATCGCTTGAACCCGGGAGGCAGAGGTTACAGTGAGCCGAGATCATGCCATTGCACTCCAGCCTGGGCAACAAGAGTGAAACTCCATCTCAAAAAAAAAAAAAAAAGAAAAAGCAAACACTTCTTGAGAGCATATTATGTACTAGGCTCTTTACACATATAAACTCGCTTTGTTCTTTTTTTTTTTTTAGACGGAGTGTTGCTCTGTTGCCTAGGCTGGAGTGCAGTGGCAGGATCTCGGCTCACTGCAGCCTCCTGCCTTGGCCTCCCAAAGTGCTAGGACTGCAAGTGTGAGTCACTGCACCCAGCTGAACTCGCTTTGTTCTTACAAACATCCTGTGCAGCAGGTTACTAATATCCCCATTTAGTGATGAGAAAAATGAGTCTCATGATATTCAGGAAAAATTTGGCAAAACTGGAGTCTAAAACCAGGCTTGTGACTCCATAGCCCCCCCCTTTTTTTTTTCATGATGATGCTAAATAAGAAAAGGAGGAAGATGAGTGATGGCAGATAATATCCCATACCTTCTAGAACATCATTCATTGGTGAAGCATTATTCATTTTATTATTGCATTGTCACACATATAAAATTGTCATAATTGTGATTCCATGCTGTGACATTTAGAATCCTTGGCAAAGAATGCCTTCTTCCAATCAACAAAATTGCCAGTAATTACTCTGCCGTGGCATCTCCTTACCTTCACCTCTCTTGCTAATCCTGGATATACTTTCTCATCATGGCCTGCCCCTGTTATCTTTCAGATGTCTCGTCATGAAGCCAGCTAGGTCAGAGTTTATCAGACGTTATCTCCTGTTCATCTTCAGAGCTCCACCCAATTGCACCCTTATCTCTATCTGGATTCTCATCTTGAGCTACACTTTTGTGACCGCTCCCATTCTGTTCCCCAATCCTTATTCCTGAGCTCTGCTCTGTCCCCTTTACCATTCATGCTGTTAACATCTTCTTCCCGTTGGTGACTTTAAGCTAAAGTACATATAACAGACTAGTGCATGTTAAGTTATAGGTCTTTAAAATCCCTGAAAACATACACCATGAAGATTTCAGCAAAAGATGACATATCTATGACATCATCTGCCTTAGCTTCTCTGACCCTGACTTAACCTCATCCGGGCGGTTCTTCACATCTCTTTAGATTTTTTATGTAATTTGGGGCCTCTCTACACATTGTTTTGCCACCTTCCCACTGCACCCCGCCCTTTTTTTAACCTAGGCTGCTAATAACAATCTTTTACACTGCAGTTTTCTGTACTTCTATAGTTTTTCTTGTGCATAAGTACCATTAATTATTTAACCAGTCCATTCCTATTATGCATAGATGTTGCTTCCCAGTTTTTCTTACTATAAATTACCCTGCTGTGAACATCTTCATGACTAAATCATAGTGTGTTTCTCTGATTCCTTTTTTTTTTAATGAGACAGAGTCTTGCTCTGTTGCTTAGGCTGGAGTGCAGGGCTGTGATCTCGGCTCACCACAACCTCCACCTCCTGGGCTCAAGCAATTCTCCTGCCTCAGCCTCCTGAGTAGCTGGGATTACAGGCATAAGCCATCATGCCCAGCTAATTTTCATATTTTTAGTAGAGACGGGGTTTCACCACGTTGGCCAGGCTGGTCTTGAACTCCTGACCTCAGGTATCCGCCCACCTCAGCCTCCCAAAGTTCTGGGATTAGAGGTGTGAGCCACCACGCCTGGCCCCTCTGATTACTTTCTTATGGCAAGTTCCTAGAAGTAGAATTTCTGGGTCAAATTATATGCATATATTTAAGGTTGTTGAAGAATATTGCCTAAATTGCTTTACAGAAAGGTTACCTCAGTTTGCTACCCTAGTGGAAGTACGGGGAAGGTTCCTGTGAATAATTCTAAGAAGTATGATATCACAGGATTCACCCCAGGGCATCACTAATTAGTCACATGATCTTTGGCAAATCATATAAGCTTTATCACTCCCAATTGAGTTCTATTAAAAACAAGGAGTTGGTTTAGACCTCTATATTCTTCCTCCACCTAGTCCTTCTGTTGTGCAGCTTTCCCATTATGGGGAGCAGTGCATTTCTGAATGTTCTCTGGGGGCTCTTAAAGGGAACTTAGATAGTGAAGCCTTAAAACAGGTGAGTGGCTGAAACAAAGATGAGGATTTTCTTGAAGTTTTCTCTTGGGAGAAAGAAAGGATTTAAGGCCGGGTGTGGTGGCTCAGGCCTGTGATCCCAGCACTTTGGGAGGCCAAGGCGGGTGGATCACCTGAGGCCAGGAGTTTGAGACCAGCCTGCGCAATATGGTGAAACCCCATCTCTACTGAAATTACAAAAATTAGCGGGTCATGGTGGTGTACACCTGTAGTCCCAGCTACTTGAGAGGCTGAGGCAGGAGAATCGCTTGACCTCAAGCAGGTGGAGGTTGCAGTGAGCCGAGATCGTGCCACTACACTCCAGCCTGGGTGACAGAGGGAGAATCTGTCTTAAAAAAAAAAAAGAAAAAGGAAAAACAAAGGATTTACTATTGTGTTCACTTTCACTTTGGTCTCTTCAATTTTTTTTTTTTTTGGAGCACTCAGTACTTAACAAAATTGTCTTAAGTCTTGTCCCCACCTCAGTATGTCAGGGACATCTATGACCACCATTCCCATCGTACAGGTGAAGAAATGGGGGACATGGAAGGTGTCAATATGCTCAACTGTAGAGCGTGAGTCAGAGGTCAGGAAGAAACGTGCATGTGGGGCTGCGGACACAAAGGCTAGTCCCCAAAGCTCTAGAATCCTCTTGCTCTGCCTCAGGACATTATCAATCCAGAGATGTTATGAGGACTGGTAGATTCAAGGCTTTCAAATTGCTGTCCTCCAACAAGGCTCTGGGGTCACCTGCAGCCACACACTCTTTCCTGGATCATATGTGTCTGCTCTGCCTTTTTTTTCATATCTCTGGCAATGGGCATTCAGGCCATCAAGGCATCTCTGCAAAAGGATAAGGTCTGATACATGTACTGACAAACTCAGACATGGGCTGGTAAAAATTAAGTTGAAAAGGATGATGACACAGTAGCATCAAGGGCAGCAATAAACACTCGCCAATTTTTATTGCACAGCAGATAGGTCACTGGTACATGGTGTTTGATATGTGCTTGCTGAATGCCAGTTTGTGCCAGGAGGTGCAAAGATCAATAAGTCACAGGTCCTTCCCTCAAGTACCTTACAGTCCAGCAGAGGAGATAGACAAGAAAACAAACACAACAGTAAAGTCATAAATAGAAATTTATACAAAGACCAACGTAGCAGAGAGGGAGGAGTGATTAACTTGAAAGTTATACCAGAAGAAAACTTCAAAGTCTGCAGCATCTGATGGATTGCAGGTGCAAGGCCCCTTTAGAACAGCTGCACTCCTGAACTTTTCTCTAACATGGATTTGTATGTATTAAAGCCTATATCATTTCATTATACAACTGGATGTATGTGTATTAAAATCACATTTGATAATTCAACTCATTAAATGACCTAATGACTCTTTTGCTTTGCTTTCCTCCCTTTCTCAGCAAGCAAAAAAGTTTCTTAACTGAGCAGTCACATTGGATTGAAGAGGCATCTGTTTCTAACAAATTGACACTTCATTATTTTCCATTGGGAGCAAATGTGCACCTCCTTTTGATCACTCAGAGCTTGTTATACAGAACAATAAGAAGGCACTGTGTTAGAATCACCAGGCCCCTCTAAACCAGAGAAAATGCAGAAATACCAAAGAGGTTGAGCCTAATTATTTCAGTAAATGAAGCAAGAGGGTGGGGCATGTTACTGGAATATAGGACTGAATGTAACTTGAAAATTATATAAAAGAAGCTTTGGGATAAAGTGTAATTGAGTTAGTTTGCTAGTTTCTAAATTCTGTAATAGTGAATTTCATGTATCAGGTTTCTATGTAACGAGGTGTGTATGTGAGAGCTACATATACAAATCTACTTCTTAAGTATTTCCCAAATGATTTGTGACATTTAGGGGGAACTCCATGGGACATTAATACTAGAAAACTCTCTTACCTGTATAGAAGAAAAACATTTTATAATGTTAATCGTCATAATATTTCTCTTGTAGAAAATAGTTGGAGAAATCTAAGGTTGAAAACAACATATGTTCTCTATATTAAAACGTCAAGAGCTGTACTGAGGAAGTTTGTGGAGTGGGTGGTAGGTAAGATTTGCATTTGAAAAGAAGTCTGAAATATTTCTGATTTTTATTTAGATTGTTAAAGTTTCAAGTACTTAAAGATTTACCAATTCCTTCAGAGTACCAAGTAGAGGCAATCATTTACTAATGACTGGAATATTCATCAGATAAATAAATGCTTTTAGGGTTTTTTGTGTGCGTGTGTGACACAAAGTCTCACCCTCTTGCCGAGGTTGCAGTGCAGTGGTGTGAACACAGCTCACTTCAGCCTCGACCTCCCTAGCTCAAGCAATCCTCCTGCCTTGGCCTCCTGAGTACCTAGGACTACAGGCGCACGCCACCACACCTGGCTAGTTTTTTGATTTTTTGGTAGAGACAAGGTCTCACTGTATGGTGCAGGCTGGTCTAGAACTCCTGGACTCAAGCAATCCTCTTGCCTTGGCCTCCAAACTGATAAATGCTTTTGTTATGAAACTGCTACTCCAAAAGATATGAAAACTGGGTTTGAAAGAAATTAGTTATCCATTTAAAATAAATGTATAATGCTAAGGGGTAAATAAAAACCATGAGTACTGCTGTATGCCTTAGCTTAGAACCTTTTTTAAAAAAAAAAAAATAGAGTGATGGGAGTCTGGGCACTTATAATCCCAACATTTTGGGAGGCTGAGGTGGGTGGATCGCTTGAGCCTAGTAGCTTGAGACCAGCCTGGGCAACATGGCAAAACCCATGGTGAAACAAACAAAGAAAAAACCAATTTAGCTGGGTGTGGTGTAGCTCTAATCCCAGCTACTTGGAAGGCTAAGGAGAGAGGATCTTTTGAGCCCGGGAGGCAGAGGTTGCAGTGAGCTGAGATCATGCCACTGCACTCCAGCCTGGGTGACATAGCAAGATTGTGTCTCAAAAAATTAAATTAAATTAAATTAAGATAGAATGAAGAGTTCTTGAAGACAAATGCAACTCACTGTGGTGCATAAAAAGGTGTGCGAGTTCTTCTGTCCCAAATGCCACGGAGCTGGTGAGAAGCTCATGGTGAACGTGTTTAGAATTCTCCTAAATTCACCCCAGACTGAAATGGGGGCACTGGGGAGGAAGTCACTCACCTGGACTGACAGGGCAATTATCCATGCAGAACAGAGGACCCCAACATTCTGGAACTTTCCTACACTAACCCTTAGAAGCAAGGAGATCCCTTACTCCACCCGTCTTACCCCACCAGACCATCTGACTTTTCTTTCTCTTTTTTTTGAGACAGTTTCGCTCTTGTTGCCCAGGCTGAAGTGCAATGGTGCGATCTTGGCTCACTGCAACCTCGGCCTCCTGGGTTCAAGCAATTCTCCTGCCTCAGCCTCCTGAGTAGCTGGGATTACAGGCACACCCCACGATGCCCGGCTAATTTTTTTTTTTGTATTTTTAGTGGAGACGTGGTTTTACCATGTTGGCCAGGTTGGTCTCGAACTCCTGACCTCTGTGTGCCTTGGCCTTTCAAAGTACTGGGATTACAGGCGTTAAGACACTGCACCCAGCCCATCTGACTTTTCTTTTCTTTTCTTTTTTTTTTTGTTTTTGAGACAGAGTCTTGCTCTGTCGCCCAGCCTGGAGTGCAGTGGCTCACTCCAAGCTCCGCCTCCCGGGTTCATGCCATTCTCCAGCCTCAGCCTCCTGAGTGGCTGGGACTACAGGCACCCACCAACACGCCCGGCTAACTTTTTTGTATTTTTTGGTAGAGACGGCGTTTCACCGTGTTAGCCAGGATGGTCTCGATCTCCTGACCTTGTGATCCGCCCGCCTTGGCCTCCCAAAGTGCTGGGATTACAGGTGTGAGCCACCTCACCCGGCCCCATCTGACTTTTCTATATTTTATTTATTCAGGAAAATAGACAGATGATGGCATTCGTCTCTTAATGTTTTGTAGGCAATTCTGTGGGAAAGAAGCACCCGTTGCTCTGTTTTCACATACTTCCTTTTCTTTTCAGTGACAGAGACATACTCAGGAAGGCTGGACCCATGGAGGCTGCCCACCTTGTTCATTGATTTCTACTTGATTGATTCCTTCTTGATTGATTTCCAGGATCTCTGAAACGAGAAGCCCTCCCCTTTATATGTTTAATCAGATATTGCAAAGTGGACCTGAGAACGAGCCCGTCGGAAGCAGATTATGAAGGGGCCTATGTTTTGAATATGCTGAACTGCTTTGGTTTGTGACTGGGGAAGATTAAAGGCCTACAACAAAAATGAGTGCTGGATATTGCTGACAAGAGAGGCTTCCTGTAATTTCTCAGGCCATAAGTATTTAGTGAGTATTTACAAGGTGTGGGTTATTTTCAGAAACTCTTAGACCAAGAGACTCAGGAACTGGTATGTCCCCAGGGACACTGGTATCCCTGTCTCGCTTACTGGAGTGTCTCATACAGGGACTGGCACATAAATACAGAAACGCTATACATAAACGCTAGTTAAATGAAGGCACAGGTGAACAAATGAGTGAACGAATGATCAAGCGAATCTACTCGTTCAGTCCCTCAGGCTTTGTAACCCCAGTAACCAAGAACGATGCCTGCCATGAATTAGGCAATCAATAAAGGTTTGGTTCCATGAGTTAATAAATCCAATCAAGCATTAGTAACTTACCCAAGTATTCTGTTTGACTATTAAAAATTTTCCAATGTAGTTGCTAATAATTGTCATACTCTTTCTGCACCCCACATCTACAGAGGGTCCACTGTTGACGCCAGCATTGCATTTCCCATGTTCCTGCTTGACACACCTGTGCAGGTGGCATGGTTTTAGCAGACCGATCCAGAGAGAAGTATCTGCATTACAGTTAGACTGGAAGAAAAGTTATTAAGTTGAGACTTTAAGGTAACCAGCCTTACCGACGTCACAGAAGTGTGTACGGAGAAGAGTTCCTGCCAGCTCAAGTATTGTCTCCTCTGATCAGAGTTCTCCTTGCACAGCTTATTTCTGCTGTGATAGAAAAACAGTCTGGGTGTCACAGAGAGAACTGAAGACAGGAAGTGGGAACTCTCCCTTCTGAATACAGCACTAGAGTTAATGTTAAGAGTGAGGGAAAAAAGCTAAGAGTAATTCCTATTGGTGAACTCATTCAATATTCACAGACACCTAGGAGATAGATATTCTTCTTCTTCTTCCCATCTTCTAAGAAACTGAGGCCCAGAGAGGTTGAGTAAATTACTCAAGATTAAATAGCACAGATGGCAGAACAAAGATGCAAACTCAGAAAGTCTGGCTCCATTCTTTCTTTTCTTTTCTTTTCTTTTCTTTTCTTTTTTTTTTTTTTTTTGAGACAGGGTTTCGCTCTGTTGCCTGGCTGGAGTGCAGTGGTGCAATCGTAGCTTATAGCAGCCTTGACCTCCTGGGTTCAAGCGCTCCTCCCATTTCAGCCTCCCAACTAGCTGGGACCACAGGCATGCATCCCCACATCCAGTTAATTTTTGTATATTTTTGGGGGTAGAGATGGGGTTTCACCATATTGCACAGGCTGGTCTTGAATTCCTGGACTCGTGATCCACCTGCCTTGGCCTCCGAAAGTGTTGGGATTACAGGTGTGAGCTACTGCACCCGACCCTGACTCCATTCTTAACCACTATATTACATTGATGTATGTGTCCTCTTCACCTGGCAAATCTTTATGGAATTTGGAATAAGGCAAGGATGTACTGCAATAGGATGTCGTATCTGGACTTTTTTAAAAAAGTGTCTTTGATTATAAGACAAATTCCATAGCATAAGAACTCAGAAACCACAATGTAACAAATCTCTGATGACTATTTGCAAATTATTTTTCCAGTGTCCTAAAGAATACGGCCCTGCCCTGAGAGAGTAAAATCACCTGCCACAGTGGTCCTTTGCACTAGGACTTCCCCCTCATTCTCTCGCCTTTAGGGATGGGATAGCTGAGAAGAAGGGCCAAGCGGATTACTTGGGAACGTGCCACATTGATGGGAATTCAGGTGGTCTTGCTAGACTTCTACTGGGCACTGCTTTCTTTATAATGCTAAGTGTATATAATCTGTTTTATATGCTTTGAGAATGCACTGTAATTGGTACACTCTGATAATCAAAGCAAACTTAGTCACATATATTAGACACCACAGAGAAGTGTGCAGTGGAGTGAAACTGCAATTTATATTGCCGTGTTACACTAGTTTCAGCTCCAGTTTTTATTCTATGCGTGAAATGTAGGATAAGATTGCTCCTGTTGCAGCTTTTAGAGTTACTTCTTTGACCATGTTTGGTTTGGCAGTTAAGAAAAAAATCAACAGCAGGATTACATTTCAATGGCACAACATCTAATCCTCAGGCAAATGATTTGTCCACGCTTAATATAAAGTACTTAGGATGTATTGTTTGATGTGAACACTAGTTCTAATAAAATGGTGCCTGAGGTACAGTTCTTTAACTTGTAATACCCTTATTTGTGTTGGCCTGTACACATTGGATATAAAGCCATCGTGATAAAATATATCCTCTTTAGCCTGATAAAAAGGAAAATCAGAGTAGAGGACCCATACCAGGAGAGAGAAGATGCTGTAAAACACAAAGCCCCTTATGATGTTTGTAGTTGGCCTTGAGGACACGCCCTTCAACACTTCTCTGATGGGCACTTTCCCACTGTCTTGGAGGAGCGATGGAGGTACCTTATTTGAATCTAACATTGCGCTGAACCCAGCTCCATTTCGCTGCTGCATTTGTGAAGTCTTTCTAACTGGAAGGAGCAGCTGCATCAACATAGTGGATGGCAAGCACAAAGGAAGGTTAAAGGAAGCAAATACAATTCAGCCTACCTCTGATCGCAATCTCTGCCCTCAAATATCCACTTGTTAGAACCTTTTTCTCCAGGACCCCGTGCTGCTTAGAAGCATGCAAGGTTAATAATAGCAGGCAAAAAAATGCGAGGCATTTCAAGACGCAACATTCATCTTACCGTTCCACTAATGCGGGGATGACAGAAAGTCACTTTCAACCTCCTTTCCTGCTGCTTATATTACCTGCGTGTTGTGAGCTACTCCTCTAAGGTATTGGAGAATGATTGCTGTTCATATGGTGTTATAAGAAAGCTAGGCATATTTGCCATTATCCTCATCTGATTTAATGCTTATAAATCAGCAAAAACTCCACCTCAATCCACTTCTCTCTGTCTCTGAAGAGCAGACACTCAGTAATAGCTTCATTCCCAGTTCATCTGATGACTCACTTCCAGAATACTGGTGATTGAGAACCTTCTCTGTAATTGTAGCTTTAGCTAAAGGATGAAAAATCACAGAATCTAAAGTAAAGCGACTTGAGTTTTCAGCTTCCCGCCTTACCCTGACTCATCTGCAACTCTTCAAAAGTTGTAGGAGAGGTGAGCTTCTCAATGAGATGCTGAGCATTTTTTTTTTTTAATTTGAGCTGTAGTTGTAATTTCTATACTGCTAGAAAATGACTCATGGAAGAGCAAGTCTTCGAAGTTTGCTTTCAGCTTAGATTTTTATTTTGAGGCCAAGTGCTTAAATGCATGAACGTATCTTTCCTTTGACTGAAAATCTGGAAGTAAAAATGAAAAAAAAGGATGGCAAGACAGCAGAAAGAGGAGGTAGCATGGGAAACCAATGCCTTCCTTTGCCTCAGCTACGTGGCATTGCTTAGCCATCCCAGCACTCCTAGAAAGCCATAGGGGCCGGGCACAGTGGCTCACGCCTGTAATCCCAGCACTTTGGGAGGCCGAGGCGGGCGGATCACCTGAGGTCAGGAGTTAGAGGCCAGCCTGAAACAACACGAAGAAACCCCGTCTCTACTAAAAAATACAAAATTAGCCAGGTGTGGTGGTGCATGCCTGTAATCTCAGCTACTCCGGAGGCTGAGGCAGGAGAATTGCTTGAACCCAGGAGACAGAGGTTGCGGTGAGCCAAGATGGCGCTATTGCACTCCAGCCTGGGCAACAAGAGCGAAACTCCGTCTCAAAAAAAAAAAAAAAAAAAAAAGAAAGCCACCGAGACAAAAGCAGCCAGAGTACAAAGAGGCTCCCATCCAGGGTTGGTCATTGTCCTGGACATTATGGAGAGGACAGTGCCATCTCAGTGCTCCCACTCTGCCCTACTGGTCCATCTGTCTGGAGGAAGTGTGTCTCCATTCCAGCTGATTGAGGGAAGCTCTGGAAAGAATGGCTGACTTATCCTGGAACCCGACTTTTAGTGCCAGCTCTAGAGAACCTATACCCCAGGACTTAGGAGAGCTCAGTAGCCATGTGCTCAGGTACACAGACCAGACCAGGGACTGTGCTTGAGTCTTCCCAGGGCTTTTTCCAACCAGGACAAGTGAGATTTCTCCAGAAGGCCTCTTCCCAGATCAGGTTCCCACTTGTGGAAAAGAAGCTAGAAGCAGATTCCTGGGTAAGAGGTAGAATTGGAAGCACAGGTTAAAAAGGGAAAATAAGGAATGCTTTTAATGATTGGAAAAGAGGACATCCTTTGCTCCTACAAAAACTTCTCTCCAATCAAATCCCCAATGTTTTCCTATATCCTTTCTTTTCTTTTTTTTTTTTTTGAGATGGAGTTTCACTCTTGTTGCTCAGGCTGGAGTGCAATGGTGTGATCTCGGCTCACTGCAACCTCCGCCTCCTGGGTTCAAGTGATTCTCCTGCCTCAGCCTCCCAAGTAGCTGGGACTACAGTCATGGACCACCACACCCGGCTAATTTTGTATTTTTAGTAGAGACGGGGTTTCACCATGTTGGTCAGGCTGGTCGCAAACTTCTGACCTCAAGTAATCTACCTGGCCTCGGCCTCCCAAAGTGCTGGGATTACAGGCTTCAGCCACCGTGCCTGGCCTATCCTTTCTTACTTTGCAATATTTAGTCTGAGGCCCAGGAATGAAGCTGAGGGGATTCTCCTTTATCATCTCCTTGCCCTGCCCCGTGTTTGTGTGCACTCTAGAGTTCAAATCCTTTTTCAATAGGCTCTAAGATGCCATGCCATTGTGTTGACTTGGAATTTTGTTACTCCATATACACAATCTCAGTTAAATGAAGAAAGAGATGGATTGGGTTTAGGAGTCTTTCACTTACACAGTTTTTTGTTTTTGTTTTTGTTTTTTTCAAATGGTAGTTTTTTTTGTTTGTGTTTTATTTTTTTTGAGACGGAGTCTTGCTCTGTCGCCCAGGCTGGAGTGTAGTGGTGCGCTCTCCACTCACTGCAAGCTCTGCCTCCCGGGTTCACGCCATTCTCCTGCCTCAGCCTCCCGAGTAGCTGGGACTACAGGTGCCCACCACCACGCCCAGCTAATTTTTTTTTTTTGTATTTTCAGTAGAGATGGGGTTTCACCGTGTTAGCCAGGATGGTCTCGATCTTCTGACCTCGTGATCTGCCCGCCTCGGCCTCCTAAAGTGCTGGGATTACAGGCGTGAGCCACCACGCCCGGCCTACAAATGGTAGTTTTAAAAATGAAGCTGTTCTCTTTCGTTTTTCAAAACTCCTTCAAGAGGAGTAGGAAGGGAATTTATCCTTATGCAGCTACCTGAGAGAGTGCCTATTTTTAGCATCAAGACCCCTATTATATGAGCATTAGAGAATTAAAAGCCACTTGTGTAGCTATTCTTTGTTAGAAAAAAAAAAGGCTCATATTGAGAATTCAGAATCCTTCCCAGGGAAGGAGAAATTGGCTGTCTAGGATATTATGAATTAGGGAAAAAATGCAACTAGAAACCTGATAAGGTACTTAACTGTGCCTAGAGTTGTTATTGATATGAAATGCCCTTGCTGTCGATATTTTATAATTCCTAACTTACTTTTAGTCTCAGATAATAAAATTTTACTTCTAGAATTTTCGAATAGATTTAAAATTCTCTTTCTGGGTGACTATTCTGAGGCTATCGGTAGCAGGTCTCTGAAGTCAGTAACTTACTCATCCAAATGTTTATCGTTGCTCTCACTAAGGTGGGAGTGGGGTTGGGGAGGATGGCGGAGGCTGGAACGTCAGACTCACTCTCAGAGAAGAATTTTTTGTGGTTTTAGGGCATTGGCCTTCAGAGTTCAATTTGGTTTATCTGATCACTCACTACTCATGCCATTTGCAGAGAATTGAATAAATATGATTTCTACTCTTCTCCAATGTAACAAGGGAGAAACTTAAGTCTCAAAAAGAGAATGAGCTTTTCTAGAGCCTCTCAGGTGCCTCCTGGCCCCAATGAAGAGTGAATTGTGTGTGGCAGGCGAGTGCAATGCTCCTTTATTTGGGTAAGAGGTGGGGTGGGTGTAGGTCGGGATTGTAAAGTAAATCGGATTGCTGCCTCAAGTCTCTTTTGGTTCCAAATAGGTGCGAATGGGCGAGTGTGCAATTTCATGATACAGAGGGAGGGAGGGAGGGAGGGAGAGAGACAGAGAGAGAGGGAGAGAGAGAGATATTAGTTAAGAAAATGTCCTCAGCTGGGTCTTGTTTCAGTCAGCAGTAGTGCGTGCCACAGTTTCACCCCTAATTTACTTTTCCCAAACTCATTAAGTTTCAGATTTCTTGGGCTTAAAGTCACTAGACAAAGCAGGATTGAACGCCTGAAATACTGAAGAAACAAATCTTAGTTGTTCTTCAGGAGAGTTCCACCATTCATTTTTCCTTCGTCTTCTCTTAACACCTTCTGAATGCCTCGAAACCCCGCCCACGTCCCTCCATCCCCACGGAAAACCGCCCACGTCCCTCCATCCCCACGGAAAACCCGCCACATCCCTCCATCCCCACGGAAAACCGCCCACGTTCCTCCATCCCCATGGAAAACACTCCACGTCCCTCCATCCCCACGGAAAACTCACCCACGTCCCACCATCCCTACGGAAAACCGCCCACGTCCCGTCATCTCCACGGAAAACCGCCCACGTCCCGCCATCCCCAAGGAAAACCGCCCACGTCCCGTCATCTCCATGGAAAACCGCCCACGTCCCGCCATCCCCACGGAAAACTGCCCACGTCCCGCCATCCCCACGGAAAACTGCCCACGTCCCGCCATCCCCACCGAAAACCTGCCCACATCCCTCCATCCCCACGGAAAACCCCCACGTCCCTCTATCCCCACGGAAAACCTGCCCACATCCCTCTATCCCCATGGAAAACCCTCCACTTCCTCCCATCCCCACGGTGGCCACTCCCGTCCAGGTTGCCATCATTTCTCACTAGATCTCTGCAGGGGCTGCCTGATGAATCCCCCATTCCCCATCTTACCTCTCTCTGATCTCCACACCCCAACCAGAGAGCCCTGTAGACAACAGAAATCTGAGTCTTGAATGCACCTGTTTAAAACTCGTCTTTAGTGCTTCCCCAGTGTCCTTGGGACACGATTGAAATTTTTTTCTGTGGTGTACAAGGCGCTCCCTATGGAGAGCTCAGTGACTGGGAGAGCTGAGCTTCCATTCCCTTTCCATGCCCCAGCTGTGGACATTTTCCTCCTCCTCAGGGAGGGAGCATAGCTCACTCATTTCCATCTGCTTGCAGAGCACGTCTAGCCTTGTCATTCTTCACGACTAGACTTAAAAGGAACTTCATGCACTTTTTGTGGGATGCTCCCACCTCAGACCATAGGAGTCCCTTAGACCATAGGAGTCCCTTCCATTGCAAGTTTCCATGGTGCGTGAATATCCTTCCACCACACCAAGTTATTTACCTTTCTAGGCTTGTAATAGCTTGCGGAGGTTTTGTCGCCCCAGAAGACTAGCAAGCTTGATGTTTGCTTATAAATAAGAGTAGGTGCCCGGAGCACCCAATGTGTGCCAAAACACAGCAAGTGCTCAATAAAAATGTATGAATTTATATGAAGTCCAAAGGGCTGGTGATCTCAGTTTTTTTGTTCATGGTGCAGCTATCGTGTTAAAGAAAATCCAGGCCTCCCTGCCTAAAAACTAATTTACCTCACAGAGATCCCAGGACTATCTGGAATTCCCCTTCCCCAGTGTTTTTGGAAAGAATGAAAAATAGACTAATTAGATCAAACAAGCAGCTTGTCCCTTTGATGTCCCCCCCTCTCCGCCCCCACTCCTCATATATGCAAATAGGTTGCAGAAAGGGAGAGAGCCAAGAGCCAAAACACAACTCCAGGTATGCTTGGCTCTCCCTAATCAGGAGACAATAAGAGCGTTCTTCAATTTTATTGTTGTTATGATTCAAAATGAACTAAAGAATGCAGGGGCTGGCGAGGGAGACTGAATTCTCTGGAGTTAACAGAATAGGGCACCAGTGAGGGGGTGGACAGGTGAAGGTAACACTAGAAGGGTAAATAACTTGGGAAATAAATCTAAAAAGTTAAGTTTCATCATCGTTCTCCTTCACACTCACTATGACCTTCCCATCCAATGATAAATCTCTTCTCAGAGGTATTTCTCTCCTGGAGGCACACATGGAGTCACGGGCCGAGCTTAGGATGAGCACCACGATCCCTCCTCTCACAGGGCACATGGCCATGCGAGGGAAGCAGGCAGGCACAAAAGTAATTTCAACAGCCTGTGACGTGTGCTATGACACAGGCAGCATAGGCTTTGACGGGAGTGCAGAAAAGACGCATCTCACAGGTGTCAGGAACAGGTGTCTGGGGATGGGGGGTGAGTGGTCAGGGGAGACTGAGTTCTCAGCAGAGGTGATATCTAGTTAAACCTAAAGGACAAGTGGGGTTTGGGGAGATCGGCAGGTGGGAGCATTGTGGACTTGTAAACAGTGTCTTACACAAGGAAAAGTTTATATCCGGTGCTACATGGACTATATCTGCTATCAGGACATATCAAGAATAGTATTAAGTATATGAGGCTTGCAAAATTAATCAATATATAAAATCAGCAACTAGGAGTCATCTGACAGTTCCAAAGCATCTGCTTGAGTCCTGAAGATTTCATAGAGCAAGCGCCATGCTTTTTCCTGTCACTGTGCTGACCCTGTGCCAACGCCTACGCAGACCGAATGTGATCAAACAAGATCTTCCAAATAGATTGATCTCACCTTGAAATTCTTCACATGCAATGCAGGTTACACAGGCGGCCTCTGCCTGCCTCCTTCCAGTTGACCCTCTGATCATTTCTATTAGGCAAACCCAGCTGCTTTGACTCAGGCCAGTGGTGGCCCTGGGCCCCTTCCTAGCAATCCTAGAGGTTATTTGCACCAGACACATTTCCAACGGGTCACCTGCCGAAATACCTTTCAGTAAGATAAACTGCACATTAAATAGATATGTCCGGCCAGGTGGGTGGCTCACGCCTGTAATCCCAGCACTTTGGGAGGCGAAGGTGGGGGGATCACCTGAGGTCGAGAGTTCGAGACCAGCCTGACCAAATTGGAGAAACCCCGTCTCCACTAAAAACACACAAAAAATTAGCTGGGCATGGTGGCGTATGCCTGTAATCCTAGCTACTCGGGAGGCTGAGGCAGGAGAATCCCTTGAACCCGGGAGGCAGAGGTTGCGGTGAGCTGCGATTGCGCCATTGCACTTCAGCCTGGGCAACAAGAGCAAAACTCAGTCAAAAAAAAAAAAAAAAAAGATATTTCCTCCTGCCCTGCCTTGATGTGGATTTGGTAGAATAAAATGCAGAAGCTGTGCTTTCTTCCCTCCTTCTTCTGGTGACATTCTTTGTTGTTGCCTCCATAAAAGGTCACCATTGAAAGGACTGAAGAATATGAAAAATGATGTCCTAATCTCTCTCTTGGAAGCACTATAGTCTTAATTTGATGAAAGACAACGAGGAGGAACACAGAAAAGAGGGAGGAACAGGAACCAGAGCAACAGGGCTCTGAATTTAGAAACCTGGCCGTGCTCTTTGGGTCTGACTTGGCCCGAGAATGCAAGCATCAGATAAAAATAACAAGTCACACAGTAGAGGACGGATCTCCGGCTTCTCCTGCGCCCGGGGCCGCACATGCCCAGTGCGTGCCTCTTTGGTCGAGAGGCGCAGAGCAGCCTTCCCAGCAGAAGGCTGGAGTGAGAGAGGGCCTGTGTTTGATGTATGAGCTTTGGCTTGCCGTCGTGAGTCACCCCAGAACTAGCTGCAGGCAAAACAAAAATCTTTTGTGATTAATTAGAAAAACTGGACAATTATGAATTGACTGCACACAGCCAGGGTATGGTAATATAAATAGTAATGACTCCAGCGGAGCCTGATGAGCTCTAGTGTTTATGTGAGATCACTGGAGAAAGGCACATTTTTAACGTGGAATCTGCTGAAATAGGATGATTTCTGATCTCTGATAATTTGAAGATCTTGACCAGGATTCCAGGGGATACCTTCCAGAGGGGTCTAGTTGCCTTTTCCCACCACCCCTCCAAACGTGAGTCTCTGTGCCAAATGGACTATTCTTTCTTTTTTTTAAAAAAATTGAACTCAAACATCCTTTTCAGCAGTTCTGTGAAATTGCTTACATCTTTTGCTAACCCCACTGCCAGGGCATGGAGCTGTTTGCCCTTTTGGGGCATTTGCCTCCACTGTGACACTCTCAGAGGACTTGAACACAAATACCATTTTTATTTGGAGGCACTTGTTGGTTTTTATGTTCAAGGGAAGAAGGAACCACTACGAGTGAGCTGTTTAACCCGGGAAAGGAAAGATCAGCATATTGTAGTGAGTTATTGGATTGATGATTTATTCTGCTTAGGGAGGGTGAAGTAGAAAGATCTCCACAACACACAGTCGAACAAAGCTTTTAAAAACCTTTGGGTGTTAACGCTATATTTCTTGGCATGATTTAATTATGCCACCCAACCTCCCCACCCCATGAGCACATCTTACATAGTGGAACTAGGGAATGATTATTTTTCAAGGAAGTTTACAAAGAAAAATAATTAAACCCTGACAGTGCCTGCAAATGTCAAAATACAGATTTCCTCCAGTGATCATTTCTTTAACCACTGGGGTAAGCAAGTTATCCTTTGTCCTGGGGCAACATTGTGTAGCCAGCAATGGTCACAGACCCAAGAGTCACAAAAGAAAAAAATGTGATCTCGCTGATGCCTCCCCAAGCATCTACTCTGCTTCCATAAAACACCTTTCAAGACCTTTGAAATTTGGTTTCTGCCAGGCAATTAACTCATCTTAACGTGCATTCTACATATCCAAGTGCCTTTTCTGGCCCTCTGTTTGCACTTGCCGGCATCCACATTGTTTTCTATTATTATTCAAGCAGCGCCGCCTCAGTAGTAAACCCATTGACCATTCAATCAGAGCAGTGGCTGCTGTGGATAATTAAAAGTTCCCAACCTCTTACCCCAAGGCCAGGCTAGAGCCAGTCAGAGAGGAGCCAGGTCCCAGCTGCTCAGGGACCAATCGATCAGCTGATTAACCCTTCTTACTGATTGGTTAGAGCTGATTGCATCTCCCGTAAAGAAATCTCTTCTGGCCCTGGGGCACTGGAGGCAACTATACATTCAGGGTGGCTGAGGGAGCGGCTAGCTGCGGCAGTCACTGTCCTCACACAAAGTAAAGGGAGGAAAAGAGAAGAACTCCTAATGCAACATTTTAAAGATTTTATCTCTCCACCACTGTTTTTTCCCCTAGACTGTCTTTATTTCTAGAGAGAGAAGTCTCTGTCTGAGATTCAGGAATGGCAGAAAAGATATTTGGTATGGCAGTTGCTGCTATGTAGCCCGTGAAACGGAGGATTCTTTTTGACAACAGTGTCCCCAAATGTCCCCTTGCAAAATGGCTGACGTCAGAAAGTACACACCCTTCATAAAATGGGTCCCTCTCCTGGAAGATTGCTTGTTGACCAGTCGACTTTGACAAGGTTTGTATTTGCTGGCTCGTAAATATTTATCCTTGGGTCAGCGTAAACAATCTGTTTTCCATTGTGCTGACATTTTGGTGCAGTGAGTAAAATATACTGTATTGTAACAGAGGCATTTAAAAAAATTGCTACCCCGTTGTTGTCTTTGAAGGGAGTAGCTGAGATGCTATCAGACAGGTGTGGTGGCCAGGCCATTATGAGTGGCTCGTCCGGTTTTCTTAAAGACTGATTTCCACGAATTTGGTAGGAGGGTCCAGATAGGGAAACCCCTGTGAAACGTTATCTCTGCTGGTCCCAGGCTTATCATTCAATCTGCAGCAAAGCGGAGAAAAGCTGAATTTTGCAAAGCTGACTTTGCAAATATTATCTTTGCCTCTGTCTTCGAGAAGGCCAAGCTCCCACTGACGTCAAAGGCAGTTGGCCTGTGGGGAATGTGCGGGCTCAGTCAGAGTGCGTGTCCAATGCCTTGGTGGAAAATGCAGCCGGCAGGTTGGAAAACAAATGTTTTCAAAATGCTCATGTTTTGCCCTTATTTTGGGATACTTATTCGTGGAACTGCAAGAACAGAAAATAAGGAGACATTTCCAGGAACTCAAACATTATTTACCCTACAGTGAAACTGATGGCAACAGAGACTGATCTTAGATTCTACCAAGGGTGAATTACATGGGAGTGGCTTTAGTTTAAGGGCCTTCCTCGGAGTGGGGTTTAGGGACTGCACGCTTTGTGAGTTGTTACAGGCACCGTGGGGATGTAGCTGTTTACTTGGAGGGATCTGCTCCGCCACCGAGGCTGAGGGCAAACAAGCAGGTGTGAAACACTCTTGGGAAAGAGCTCTGAGACCCTGAAAAGTATTGTAAGAACACAAAGAATGAGAGTTATGTTTTCATTATTAGATGAACCAAAGTAACCAACAATTATATGACCCTGGACATATTTATTAAAATCTCAAGGGCCTCAGTCTGCTGGTCTTAAAGCAAGTTTATGGGAGTGCACACACAAACACACACACAGATTTTTTTATGGACTTGCAGCTATTTAATTTATTCTTAAACATGTACATTTCTGAAATCAAAGCTAAAATTGTAAAAATCATGTGCAAGCCAGATCTGTAGTTCATTACAGAAAAGGAAAACATTGTCAAACCTAAGGAGGCACTAGATAATAGCATGGGTCCTGTTAATGCAATCACTATTTAGTAATAACTTAACTATATGACACTGTTAAATATAATATAGAAACTAATACATCTGCCTATTCTTGGTCTGCTAGAAGCTTACAGTCTGATTTGTCTTATAAATGTCACGTATTAAAATGTCCATGAGGCCACTTAGAATTTAAAATATTTTGAATAAAGTGTTTCAATGTGAAACTACTTCTCTATACAAGATTTCTGTGCATGAAGAGAAAAGGAATACAATTGGTCTTAGAAATGAGTAAGGTAAGTACTTCTTAATATTTTGAGGCTGTGCTACTCTGGGGACACTGCCTATGGGGTAGCCCTGCCCCATAAGGAGCAATAAAAAATAAGTAAAATAAAATAAAAATTTTGAGGCTGGATAAAATTGACTACACTTGAAAAACTGGGTCCTTTCTGTTTTTATTTTTTTGATTTTTTTGAGACCGAGTTTTGCTCTTGTCGCCCAGGCTGGAGTGCAATGTGATCTTGGCTCACTGCAACCTCCACCTCCCAGGTTCAAATGATTCTCCGGTCTCGGCCTCCAAGCGCCCACCACCACGCCCAGCTAATTTTTTTGTATTTTTAGTAGAGACGGGGTTTCACCATGTTGGCCAGGCTTGTCTCGAACTCCCAACCTCAGGAAAGGGAATATAGTATCCTATACTATCAAAGCAAAATGTAAAACTTTATTTAAAATCAGGGCAGGCTATGACGTGCTTCCTAGTCTTGAGTAGTATGTGGGGTTTCTGAATATGGAAGCCATATCAACAAACAGCGGCGACAGTTCGTGCAAATTGAGCACCAGACTAAAAGCAGGTAGGGTTCCTGGGAAGGAAGCGCTGTAATTCGAAACTCAGATTAGCCATTTTCTCCGCGGTAAAACAGAGACCACAAAGTAAACCTACTCACTCAGCGGACTCCCTGGCTGCGGCAGCTCCCTTTGAAGATACATTTATTTTCTAAAGAAAGCTGGTAAAAACCACTGACTATATTTAGCGTATGAAATGAATGTGATTGATTTTTGTTTCAGTGATTCTGCTTATAGAACATTTCTTTCTTTCTTTCTTTCTTTTTTTTTTTTTTTTTGAGACAGAGTCTCTGTCGCCCAGGCTGGAGTGCAGTGGCGCGATCTCAGCTCACTGCAACTTCCGCCTCCTGGGTTCAAGCGATTCTTCTGCCTCAGCCTACCTAGTAGCTGGGACTACAGGCATGCGCCACCACACCTGGCTAATTTTTTTGGTGTTTTTAGTAGAGACAGGATGTTGGCCAGGCTGGTCTCGAATTCCTGACCTCAAGTGATCCACCTGCCTTGGCCTCCCAAAGTGCTGGGATTACAGGCATAAGCCACCGCACCCAGCCTAGAACATTTTTAAGTATTGCTCAGAAATGTCCCAAAGGTGGGAGTTTTTCAGACACGTGAAACAGAAGTTCAGTTTGTCTTTCCTTACCCTTTTTTTTTTTTTTTTTGGAAAGTTTTCCTAGAGATCATGCAACAATAAACACAACCAAATATTAAAGTTCATTTTTTTTTTCGTTTGAGATAGGATCTCACTCTGTTGCCCAGGCTGGAGTGCAGTGGCATGATCACTGCTTACTGTAGCCTTGACCTCCTGGGCTCAAGTGATCCTCCTACCTCAGCCTCCTGAGTGGCTGGAACCACAGGCACACATCACCACACGCAGCTAATTTTTAAAATTATTTGTAGAGATGAGGTCTTACTATGTTGCCCAGGCTGGTCTTGAATTCTTGGGCTCAAGCGATCCTCCAGTTTCAGCCTCCCAAAGTGCTGGAATTACAGGCATGAGTCACCGCTCCTGGCCTGAAATTTCATTTTGTATGGAAATCTGTGAAACAAAACAAGCGTAGCTTCTCACCTTTCTCAGCGCCCACTTCATGCTCTGATCAATTAATTCAGAGTAATAGAAATGCAAGTGGTTGTTGGAATGCATTTGTTTGGAAACAGTACATCCAACTAAATGATTCCGATTTTTTTTTCAAAGTCCCAGATACGGGACATTAAAAAAACAAAAAGTGTACCTTGCGTACAAATTTTCTTTTAAACATACCAGAATGCTGTGTTTGCCTTTTGCTGTCTCAGCCTGCTTAGGAATTCCTAATGAGTAAACCGTAGCATTTAACAGTAAAATATGGTTATGGCTCTTAAATGCAGGCTACATTTAACAACCGTATATTGATTTTTTTCTTGTAATTTTATTTCCATGAACATTTCTGGTTTCTTAATTAGTAGCCTTTTAGAGAAAGATTTAACATTCTATCAGAGAGTTTGGCTTCTGTGATACAGCTTCTCAAGGGAGAGAAAGCTCTAGACTCGTAGCCCCTGTTGGGGAGGAAGAAGGCCAACACGCTATGCATACATGTGCAGATGTACACAGACACATGGCCCTCCCTCCCTTGCCTGCCAACACAATTAAGACAAAATCGCCGTGGTGAACCTGGCGACAAAACTCAACAATCTCCAATTGCACACTCACCCTGTAACGGGAAGAACTGTGTACCCCATGTTCCTTATTAAACCGAAGTATTTTATTTAATGAGCATGACTCACGCAAGGTGTTGCCATAAATCATCGGCTGGTTTACAAACTCAATAACTAGGCTTCCTGCTATAACTAGGCTGTGCACACCTTAAATTATTAACACGCCAGGGCCTTAAGGCAGATCTTTGATGATGATGATATAAACACTGTGAAGACAAGGTGCTCTCTCAGCAAAAGATTATTGACTCTAATTACCATTTACCACAGGAAAAAGAAAAGAAAAGACAATAAAATATGAGGGAGAATTTAAATCTAAGATTTAATTTTATGAGGAGCTTTAAATGCCCCCACCCCACAACTTTTTTCCTTTCGTTTTTTTTTCTTTTTTTCTTCTTATTTGCGGCTGCTGTACCAACCCGACTGAACTGCTGGTGTATAATGATAGCCCATGGTTGGCTAACCTTAAAAGGATGACCGTTGTTAAGAGGAAAGGAGGGAAAAGAATGGAAACAGGAGAGACTCTGCAGTGGATATGATGTAAATTCTTTGAAATGTGATGGAAAAAGGCCAGGGGGAAGAGAAAATGATAATACACTGGAAAGAAATCCCAGCTTTAATTGTTTTCATGTATATACGTAATAAAAAGGTTAAAGGACTAATATGCCTGGCTCCAGTCATTTTGGTTAGTAAACTAGAACTTCAGGTCAGCTTTTTAAAAGGAGTAATCTGCTCTTATTACGTGCTTGGGTTTTACTGCGTCCTCATTACACAGTTGTTGGAAGGATGCAAAGAAGTTAAAATGAGAGAGGCTTAATGATAAGAGAGCTTATTAAAAAATGAAAATCCAGACAAATGACACATGGCTCGTAGTTGCATACATAATATGTGTTTGCTTTCTGGTTATTTGTGGAAGGTGGACATATCAGCTGGGGAAGGAGTGCCTAGGACGAATGAAAAGTGGAAAAAGAGGCTCAGTTTAGCTTCCTGCTGTCAAAGGCTTTTGTTCTGCCTTCCCCTGCGGTTTTGCAGATTTCTCATTTCAAGGGCTGACTCTCTGCTCAGGTCATTGTCTCTGTAGGCTAAATTGTTGGCTTAAATTTCTACCATTAAAACAACTACAAGTTGTCATCTAATATTTATTTATGGAATCATTCTGGAATGTTGGAGTTGGAAAGGACTTTGGAAATGATCAACCTCTTTATTTTGCAAAGGTGAACATTTCATCCCTGAAGGGTGAAGTGATTTGGCCAACACCTCTCCCAGGTCTGTAGACCTCTGAATGAAGGTGGAACCCAAATCAGCCTCTTGCTCTGTCAGAAAGTGGCGTCTGCTGGAACTCATCTCAGAAAACACAGGAATGTAGTCAGTGATTGGGAAATTCACTATTGGCCTCATACATAAAATAGGTGACGCTGATTACTCTATCTGTCCTGGGGATATTTAAAGCAGGTCTTACAATCCAATGAAACTGTTAAAATATGACCAGAATGTGGAAAAAAGAATCTGTGATACAGGTTTAAAACTCTTTGCTTTTAATTTAAATAGCTTTGCTAGATTTTAGGATCATGTAAGATTTTTGGAAAAGGGCAGATTCAGGGACATAAGAATCTGCTCCCAAGCCCTATTTTCTCTAGTATTTCTTGGAGGTCACCTGTGCATCTATTCTAGTCTATTCTTAGACTGCTAGGGGACAGAAATGAGGAAGCTATTACAGGCACTAGGAGCCTTCTTCAAGAGACCTTTTGGTGCACCTATGCTGGTTTTGCCATCTGGTAAAGATGTTGTGTGAGTTATGGCTGTCTTACCCAATACAACACACTGGTTGCATCTGGACCAGGTCTTGCTACAGAGCAGCACTTGGGGACCAGGCATCATGCCTTCCTTCCCTGGATACAAAAAGATGAATCTACATGTAAAGGGAAAGACAAACGATGCCTTTCAATATTTTTGGGAAAATACTTCATGGTTACTTCTCTCTCTGGTCATTCTCTTCCTCTCCATGCTGGATCACCACTTGAGATTGGAAACCCAAGACTCACCCACTCAGGATCCTCGGACTATTTCTGATGCTTCCCAGGAGCAAGAGTGTTCTGTTCAACTTCCACTTGGGGTTTTCCAATTGTCTTTGTAATTATAATATCTTACACGGGGCTTCCAAAACGCTTTTATTGTATAGTCTTATTTTTCTTCATGTTGAGGAAAGGTAATGTAATTTTGTCCTTCCTCATTAAATAATGGGTGTAATTCAACTTCCTAGTTGAATTATGCCTCAAAGGTAACCACACATAAATATTGTGAGAAATAATTCCTATATGAGGTATATCATACAGCCTCATAAAAAACCTAGAATTCCTAGGGCCAGGCATGGTGGCTCATGCCTATAATCCCAGAACTTTGGGAAGTGAAGGTGGGTGGATCACTGGAGGTCAGGAGTTTAAGACCAGCCTGGCCAACATGGTGAAACTTCGTCTCTACTAAAAATTAGCTGGGCGTAGTGGTGCGGGCCTGTAATCCCAGCTACTCAGGAGGCTGAGGCAGGAGAATCGCTTGGACTCGGGAGGTGGAGGTTGCAGTGAACCGAGATCACGCCACTGCACTCCAGCCTGGGCGACAGGGTGAGACTCTGTCTCAAAACAAAAACAAAAAACAAAACACCCTAGAATTCTTTTTGAATGACCAAGTAGGTATGCAGTGTTATTTTGTAGGAAACAAATTATTCGGCCGGGCACGGTGGCTCACGCCTGTAATCCCAGCACTTTGGGAGGCCGAGGTGGGCGGATCACGAGGTCAGGAGATCGAGACTATCCTGGCTAACACAGTGAAACCCCGTCTCTACTAAAAATACAAAAAATTAGCCAGGCGTGGCGGCGGGCGCCTGTAGTCCCAGCTACTCGGGAGGCTGAGGCAGGAGAATGGCGTGAATCCGGGAGGCGGAGCTTGCAGTGAGCTGAGATTGCGCCACTGAACTCCAGCCTGGGCGACAGAGCCAGACTCCGTCTCAAAAAAAAAAGAAGACAAAATATTCTAGCGTTCATGAAATACATGAATACTAGAAGACCTAAAATTACATATATATATATATATATATATATATATATATATATACACACACACATATATATATATACACACACACACACATATATATATATATACACACACACACACACATATATATATATATATATAAAAGATGTTAGTATACAATATTCATTGTAAAACACAAAATTTACACATCGAGACCATTTCATGCTCTCTGCCTTGGGCTGATTGTAATGCAAAGAGCCACAGTTGGGGCCTCTTCTTGAGTAGCTTTTAAAGGGGCCTGGCCTGGGGTGGGTTGACAAGGCTCTTCTTAGCCTGAGCGTCTGGGCTGTTTGCTGAGAGATGGCCTGGGGCAGAGCCTGGCTGATTGCCCCGACTGGCCCTGCTCCCAGAGGTCAACCCAGGGCTTAGTAGCATCCCCTCATCAATCTAACCTGGGGAAGGGGAACTAACAGAAGAATGTGTCTGTGTGCATCTGTCCTAGGAGCACAGGAGGGCAGGAGCTGGAGTGGCAGCTGGGTGCGTTCTGGGGTTCAGGCTGCTCGCTGCTGCTGCTGCTCCCCAGAACCAAGGCTTTCTGCTTCAGTTCAGGACCAGAGCCCGCGAGAGCCCACACTGCCGCTTCTAAAATTGCCAAGTGTTATTTTGTAACTTGTGTACAAAAATACACAAGTTATTTTTTTAACTTGTGTATTTTTTAAGTTTTTTTAAAGTAACCTATTGTTTTATTTAAGTAAATAAAACATTACATTTTATTTAATAAATTTTAAAGAAATATTTAATTAATTTAATTTTCATTTCAGAAGTAACGCATGCTCATGCAGTCGTGTTCTGTGCATACCTAGGCAGATAATCTTTCAAAGAAAACAAAATTGTGATCATGCTCTACATTATGGGGTTCTTTTTGTTTTCTCTTCTTTTCTTTTTCTTTTTTTTTTGAGGTGGAGTCTCGCTCTGTCGCCCAGGCTGGAGCACAGTGGCGCAATCTCGGCTCACTGCAAGCTCCGCCTCCCGGGTTCACGCCATTCTCCCGCCTCAGCCTCCCGAGTAGCTGGGACTATGGGTGCCCACCACCACGCCCGGCTAATTTTTTGTATTTTTAGTAGAGACTGGGTTTCACCGTGTTAGCCAGGATGGTCTTGATCTCCTGACCTTGTGATCCGCTCGCCTTGGCCTCCCAAAGAGCTGGGATTACAGGCGTGAGCCACCGCACCCGGCCCTGGGGTTCCTTTTCTTAAACTTAAAAAAAAAAAAAAAAAGGAAAATTTCAAACATATACAAGAGAAGCAAGCAGCATATAATCAAACCTCTTGTGCTCATCACACAGCTTTAACAATGGGCAAATCATGGCCAACTTTATTTTATCTCTACCTAACTCCCTCTCCTGCCATTATTTTGAGGCAAATTCCAGTTATCACATCATTTCACTGTATACATTTCCATTGCCTTCTGTTTCTAAAAATTGTGATAAAATACACATAACATAAAATTTGCCACTTTATCTTTAAGCATACACTTCAGTGGCATTAAGTATATTCATATTGTTGTGTAACCATCACCGCCATCCATCTCCTGAAATCTTTGAGCTTGTAAAACAGGAACTCTCCACCCACTAAACAATAACTCCCCATTTTCCTCTTTTCCCAGCCCCTGGCAACCACCATGCAACTTTCTGCCTCCATAATTTTTATTAGTAAAAATCATATGAGAGTGCCTCATATGTGTGGAATCATCAGTATTTGTCCTTTTCTGTCTAGCTTACCTCACTTAGCATAACGTCCTCAAGGTTTATCCATGTTGTAGCACAGGTCAGAATTGCCTTCCTTTTTTAAGGCTGTGCATTCTGTTTTATAACCTGTTTGTCGAAAGCAGTTCGGATATGTTTAACTCTCAGGCTTACATATCTCTTCCCTAATAGGTATTATTGTTTGCTTTTGATGTGTTTATTTGGAAAGATATTAAATAATTGATTCCTGGAAAGAAAGTCTTCTTTTCTGCTGCAAAAGCCATGAGTCACAGCAGGAAGAATGTGAGTGAGCTCTGTGCCTTCAGTAGCTTAAAATCACAAATGCGGGACGCTTACCTTCAGTGTGTGCATTTGTGCAATTTTGCATCTGTATGCTGCATATACTTTGCGTTCTCTGTATGACATGCGAAATGCATCCTGAGATCAGAAATCTTTACAATACTTAACCATACATCTTCTGTGGATGTAAAAGGCAGACAACCTGAGGATTCAAGTACACATGATGATACAGAGAGGAGGCTCATACTCCACGCCCAAAGCTTGTTTCTCACAGATACCCCAAGTATTTTTGGAATTAGCTAATTAGTCTTCAAATGCCATTCAGGAATGATAGGTGTGCTTAATACCCTTAAATATCATTTAGGAATGAATATTTAAATATCATTCAGGAATGATAGGTGTGCTTAATACCCTGATTTGGTCATTATACATTGTATACATGCATCGAAACGTCCCACTGTACCCCAAAAATATGTACAATTATTATGTGTCAGTTAAAAATAAGGTAAAACCTACAAATTAAAAACAAGACCCTCCAAAATCCAAAAACCCCAAAATACTTCATTTGGGTTCACAATCAAATACTAGATTACAAAGCATGAATTGCTTTCACCATTTGATAAACAAGGAAGGTATATATGAACAAAATTAATAGGCACCTAAAAAAAGACAGAGGCATGGCAGGACTCTCCTTTTGTCTCTGCACTTACTTTATCTGCTGTCTTTTTTTTGGCGGGTGGCAGGGAAGGTTCTCTGTCGTCCAGGCTGGAGTGCAGTGGCACAATCATAGCTCACTGCAGCCTTGAACTCTTGGTCTCAAGGGATCCTCCTGCCTCAGCCTCCCAGGTAGCTGGGACTACAGGCATGCACTGCCACACCCAACTAATTTTTTATTAAAATTCTTTTTCATAGAGACGGGTTTTTGCTATATTGTGCGGGCGGGTCTCAAACTCCTGGGCTCAAGTGATGCTTCCTCCTTGGCCTCCCAAAGTGCTAGGATTATAGGTGTGAGCCATGGTGGCTGGACTATATCTGCTGTCTTAATTCCTGTTCTACTGTGAGCCACAATCTCTTTTATTAAGACTAAGAAAGAATAGGAAGGGCGGGCATGGTGGCTCATGCCTGTAATCCCAGCACTTTGGGAGGCCAAGGAGTGCAGATCATGAGGTCAAGAGATCGAGACCATCCTGACCAACATAGAGAAACCCTGTCTCTACCAAAAATACAAAAATTAGGTGGGCATAGTGGTGCGCACCTGTAGTCCCAGCTACTCAGGAGGCTGAGGCAGGAGAATCGATTGAATCTGGGAGGCGGAGGTTGCAGTGAGCCAAGATAGCGCCACTGCACTCCAGCCTGGGCGACAGAGCAAGACTCTGTCTCAAAAAAAAAAAAAAAGAAAGAATAGGAAAGCCCCGTGCCTGTCACATAGGAGGCAGTTCTTATTTGTTGAAGGAAAATTAACAATGAATTAGTCTAAAAGATGTGGCCGAGGCAAGGGGACTGAAGAATGATCTGATGCCTCACAAGGACCGTTCCCTGACTCAATGGTTCTCTGTCTGCCTTCTGTCTAGTAGTGTGGTGAGCCAGCTTGCTGGTCTACCACCCTTCCTGTGGGGAGCAATGCTCTGAGGAAGCCCTGCCCGAGTTCTCATGGTGCTGCTGGTAGGAACAGGCCTCAGGCTGATCTTTTTCCACAGCTGATGTCCTGGACTAGCCCTCTTTGTTCCCTTACTGCCCAGGCTCTGGCCATACCATTTTTATCTTTTCCCTTCCTTTTGGGAAAACAAAAGAGGCAACATGTATAAAAGATAGGAGAAAGCACTAACGAGCTTAGTCCAGTGCTTTTTTTTTTTTTTTTTGCACATGAGTAGTATGTGGTCACACAAACATGGGAGTGTGATAACAGCTCTTTCTCCTTTCTGTGGGCTTCAATCCTGCCCACCTCCAAGTCACCTCCTCCATAAAAGCTTCTTGTCTGAACCACTCATCAGTCACTTAGTCATCTGCTTGCTTTTGGTCGCCATTTGTAGTTGCCTTTTGTGGTTATTTTATTCTGTATTGTTTTTTAACCTCTCGTGATTTACTGTTACTCCCTCAATCTGATGGCCACTTCCTGTGCAACTGGAACAGGACTGTGGGTTATGCATTTGTGTAACTACACACAGGGTAGGCATTCAGGACATTTGTACTAAAGGAACAATGGCTGTTCATTGGAGGACAAATGGAGGGACAATGGCCTTAGCTTAATCACATGAGGTCACACAGATGGAGGTGGGAGTGAGATGGAAAGCAAGCCTTCACTTTTCCCACCCAGAATCCATGGTGACTTTTCTCACCTGGCATCCCGAAGAAAACAAGACAGAGCTGGCATGAAGATTGCACGGTATGGAGCGGTGCTTCGTGTTCCTTTAGAATTTATTGTTAGGTGGAAAAGCCATACAAATTGGCCACGGCCTGTGAATCTACTCACCTGGCGTACTCAGCTGTTGCCCAGATGCATAATGGGTTTTCTGAGTTTTGTTTGTCTGCATTTAATTTCAGTAGAGGAGCAGCATTTCACCTACAGCCCTTTTCCTTCTAGACTGCGTACCACTTAGCTTTGGGCTGCTAATGGTTTAATGAAAAGGCCTTGAAAATGTTGACAGTCTTTTTTTGAAAAAAAGCTACATGGCGTAAGTAGCTATGATATTACTTAAGATAGTTGACAACCCACCAATCTGATTTGCTAAATGTCTCACTGAAGCATGCCAAGTGGGTCATAAATTAGACATGATAACTAATTTTTTTTTGATATCACCAGAGAAGCTTAATCTGAATGCAGCAGTACATAAAACATTTCTGTAATGAGGAATTCACAACTTAAAATATAATGCTTTTGTAACTCTGGACCTCTGGGGGAAAAAATAAAATGAGTCATTAAGTCCACGAGAGACAATATACGCATTCAGCTTTAAATGTGCTCACCAAATAAGCTCTTTTCCCTATGATGTGACTCTTTTCCTTTATAGAAGAACATATTCATTCTATTGCAGAAGAGTTTATTCCACTGGGTAGTACGAGCCATCAGTTTATACCTGTTTTCATATATTTGTCTGCTGGAAATGATATTTATCTTTTTGTGGTAGAGTTTACATGCCTATATAATCTTTTACATATGAATGTGCCGACTCTAGAGCTGCTTCCTGAAACTGCAGGCTGATTATTGGCTTATAAGATCAGAGAAGGGCAAGAACGCCAACTCCCACCTTCCCTCCACTAGGTTACATTTATGGGGATTAGCTACGTACATTATTCAATGTATTTCTTAAGAATTAAATTAATTATAATGCATTTGGATTCCCTGAGCATTCTCACAATTAATTTGTGCTATTGAGTTATCAAATATCCCTTTCTTAAGGGATTAGCTCATTTCTGATATTTTGCACTGGTGTCCCAAGAAGTAATTTTGGACGAAAAAAATTGGATTCTCATTCCAAGGATTTGTTTTTAATCTCCAAAGGAATTCTTGGAACACTGAAATAAAATGGTACAACAGTGGCTAATCCCTTAAGTAAGGATATATGATCACCCAATAACACAAATTAGCGAAATTAGTGGGCAAAGAAAATGCTCTCATCTTCTCATCTTCTCTTTGCATACTAAGCACCAAGAGAGTGCCTCTGTGAAATGCATAGTTCCTGGTTCCTAGAGAGCTTGTTAAATTCAGTTCTTAAAAACTGCATATTTTAATAGTTTGTTTTAGGTAATCAGATATCCCAGAAAATACCCCAAATTTAAAAAATATCTTAGTTTGAGTTTAAAAAATTCTTTTTTTGTTTTTTGAGACGGCGTTTCGCTCGTTGCCCAGTCTGGAGTGCAATGCTGCGATCTCAGCTCACTGCAACCTCGGCCTCCCAGGTCTGAGTGATTGTCTTGCCTCAGCCTCCCAAGTAGTTGGGATTACAAGCGTGCACCACCACACCTGGCTAATTTTGTATTTTTAGTAGAGATGGGGTTTCACCATGTTGGCCAGGCTGGTTTCGAACTCCGGACCTCAGGTGATCCACCCGCCTCTGCCTCCCAAAGTGCTGGGGCTCAGTGAGCCACTGAGCACTGCCCGAGTTTTAAAAATTCTTATGAGAATGTCAATAACTTCCTTTCTAACATCAAATCTGATCACATTAAACACATTGTGCCAGGGTGCCATGTGGCAAAGGGTTTTTATTTCAGCTAAATGGTGAGAGTGTTGGTCCTTTTATTTTAAAAAAACTTTTTATTTATTTATTTTTGAGGGGCAGGAGGTGGGGAGTGGGGGATCTCTTATTCTGACACCCAGGCTGGAGTGCCGTGACACGATCATAGCTCTCTGCAGCCACAGAATCCTGGGCTAAAGGAATCCTTCCCGAGTAGCTGGGACTATAGGTGCACAACAATTTTTTAAAAATTTTAAAAATTTATGTAGATTTAAAATTTTTTTAAATGTTTAAATTTAAATTTAAACTTAAAAAAATGTATGTAGAGATGGGGTCTTGCTATATTGATCACACTGGTCTCAAACTCCTGGCCTTAAATGATCCTCCTGCCTTGGCCTCCCAAAAAGTTGGGATTATAGGCATGAGCCACCTCGCCTAGCCTAACGATCCTTTTAAGTACAATGCTAGGAAATCCCTTCAAACACATTTATTTACTTGAAGTATTCTAATTAAGGCCTCATTTGCCTGTGAAAGTTAGAAGGTAAGTATTAGCACTGTGATGTCATTAGCGGGAAACAGTTTCTAGCTGAGAAAATATAATTATGAATTACTTTAAAGAGCAAAACAAATCTCAGGAGATGTAACATTTTACTCGTAGATTCAAAGATTTCGAGGAAATGTTTTGGATCCGTTTTGAAAAATATTGGGTTTATGTCTTTGGAAATGCCAGTGCCAATGGAAACTAAACCTAAGCTAATAAAATCAAACTAAATTTAAATGTACCAATAAGACATTATTCTATATGTGGCAATTTTGCATTTATATGAGATTTTTAAGGAACTATACATTGTATGGCAAAAACACACCTAGATTTCGTTTGTTTTTGTTTTTTTTTTTTAAGAAGGGTTGTGAGGCTGGGCACGGCAGCTCACGCCTGTAATCTGAGGCAGGTGGATCACGAGGTCAGGAGTTCAAGACCAGCCTGGCCAACATGGTGAAACCCCGTCTCTACTAAAAATACAAAAATTAGCCAGGTGTGGTGGAGTGTAATCCCAGCTACTCAGGAGGCTGAGGTGTGAGAATTGCTTGAACCTAGGAGGCAGAGGTTGCAGTGAGCCGAGACCACACCATTGCACCCCAACCTGGGTGACAGAGTGAGACTCCATCTCAAAGAAAGAAAAGAAAAAAAAAGTTTTCTTTTCTTGTTTGATGGCAGTTGTCATTGCTGAAAGGATTTGAAAGCAAGACAGGAGATAGTGTCAATTCTGCATACCAGGCATCACAGCAAGCTGAACTGTTTTCTCTTGGGCCACTGTTAGGCCCTATAGGGCCTCTGGGCCACTTAGAAATCTAGGGCAGCCCTTCTCCGGGTGGTCACTGCACTGAACACATGTGCTTGGCCTGGTAGGTGAAAGGTGAGCTGTATTTCTGTTCCAATTTATCCCCTTAGCCAGAGGTGCTTGTGCAGTGCCCAACCTGCACATCCATCTTTGAGGACATGAGTCAGAGCTAACAAAACCACAGAGTTTGTTTCCCTCTCACCAGCAGGTATGTGATCCTCTTTGCTTGGGTGATTTTCTTCTTTGGCGACTCAGCTATTTTCTCTTGGCTTTTTTCTCTCCTGTCATCATGGACTTGGTAATTCTGTCTTGGTGTCTTTGATTCAAGCTCCCTGAAAGGGAGGGTAGGTGTGGCCAGTGACCTATTGGTAGAGATTGTGTGCCAGGCAGTTTGTTAGCTCTATAAACCCACTCCTGAACCAATCAGCCCCATCCAGGGCAGGAATGTCACAAACCCTAGCACAGAATACACCCACTGAATATCAATATGAATAATGTAATCTGCAATAATACCGTTTGCTCTGAATTACATCTTGGGTAAAGTGGCCTGATTTATAGTAAAAATACCAAATAGTATTACATGAGAGTTTTCTCTTTTGATACCCTGGGAAGAAACTGAAATGTATAAATAGTGTTTTTGCTTACCAAAGGGAGGCCATTTTAGTGTACTGATTAGTATTGAATAAATGCAACCAACGAATGGCATCCTTGTGCCATGACTAGTATTACTTACTCATTGCATGCTATGTCAATTCCATATCTCAGTCAATAGTCTTATCATCTTACTTTCTAAATATGTATGTTTCGGCCTTTCTTTCTTTCTTTCTTTCTTTTTTTTTTTTTTGAGTCAGGGTCTCACTGTCACCCAGGCTGGAGTGCAGTGGCGTGATCTCTGCTCACTGCAGGCTCCGCCCCCCTGGTTTACGCCATCCTCTTGCCTCAGCCTCCCGAGTAGCTGGGACTACAGGCGCCCGCCACCTCGCCCAGCTAATTTTTTGTATTTTTAGTAGAGACGGGGTTTCACCGTGTTAGCCAGGATGGTCGATCTCCTGACCTCGTGATCAGCCCGCCTCGGCCTCCCAGAGTGCTGGGATTACAGGCTTGAGCCACTGTGCCCGGCCGCGGCCTTTCTATAGTCACTATCGTTCACATGCCTTTATCATCTGTTATAATTATTATCATAATTTTCTTACTGCTATCTCAGTTTGTACCTTCTCCTCTCTTTAAACCATCTCTCCATTGCCACCAGAATGACATTTCCAGAATACAAATCCATCCACGGTCACTTACTCTGACTTACTGTGTGCTGTACAAGGTTTCCATGATTTCGAGGGTTCTTCCTACTACTCTTTTGAATCTTGGTTGATACCTCACATTTTCTTAAACCTCTGTGCATTTTTATTTGATGGAAAGACCTTTCTCCTTTTCTTCATTTGACCAACTCCTAACTGACATAAAGGGTGAAGTCTGTGGGAAGCCTTCCTCACTCCGTCTAAAGAGCTACGGCCTCTTTTCTGGGAGCTCTTAGGGTTCTGCGTATCTTTGTGTTAGAACGCAAGGAGCTGAGTAGTAATTCATGTTTTCCATATTGTGTCATCTACTGCGTTGTGGGCTTCTTGAGGATAATGATTCAGCACTCATCCCTATAAGTCCAGAACCAGCCAGGCATGGTGGCTTATGCCTGTAATCCCGGTACTTTGGGAGGTCTAGGTGGGACGATGACTTGAACCCAGGAGTTCAAGACCAGCCTGGGTAACAGAGTGAGACCTCATGTCTACAAAAGATTTAAAAATTAGCCAGGTGTGGTGGTGTGCACCTGTGGTCCCAGCTACTCAGGAGGCTGAAGCAGGAGGATGGCTTGAGTCAGGGAGGTTGAGCCTACAGTGAGCTGTGATTGCACCACTGAACTCCAGTCTGAGTGACAGAGTGAGATCCTGTCTCAAAAACAAAACCAAAAAACCCAACACCTATCAACCAGCCTGACTCCTAAAGTTGCTCCAATGTGTGCTTAGCTAAAAAATTTTAAATTGAATTGAATGGAATAGACCTTGTTTTTAAAGTTTCCTCTACAAAAGACACTGAGGTTTTTTGAGTAAAGTTTACTTCCCTTTGCACCCCATCCCACAGCCTCTATTTTAGGAAAAACAGGATAACATTCCTTCTCTTCCCCCTGTCTTTTATTCTATTCTTCAAGTCTTTTTAACCAAGAGAAAACTCTGCCAGTTCTATTCTTCAAATCTTTCTTTAATATTGATTCTCAAACATGATCTGATGATTGAGAATCATTGAGATAAAAGGAAGTCTAAAAACTTAGATGACTTTTTTTTTTGAGAGTATTGCAGCCTTTCAAGTTTGAGTGATCTCATATCTTAAACACGGAACTTGCTTTAGCTTCTTGGCGAGGCCAACTTAAAAAGGATTTCCTGTTTGTGAAATGCAGTCTAGTTTGTCTGAGAGTTAGGAAAGCCTTAATGGCTTTCAGGCCAGAGAGGAGAGTCTCTCACTGCAGTCTGGAGACAGGAGTCTCGCCCAGGTGGCTGTTATATTTTGAACATGCTCCCAAACATGGCCAATCACCAGTTGGAAGGGAGTCGTTTCTTTTGCCTTTCAACAGTGCTTTTTCGTTAGATCTCACATGCCAAGATGAAACCAATTCTTCTATGGTTAACTATCCAAACCTTCCCTGAGGTCCTACTTCCCTTCTCTCCCTCTAGCAGGCAATTCTCTTATACCAACATTTTAAGGTGTCTACAAGTTTACCTTTATAACTCAGTTCAATGGTCACCTACCACAAGAAGTTGATGGGCTGTTTGGGTTGATTAGGAGTGTTTCTCTCTTTTCCATACCTCTTAAGAAAATATTCCACCAATGTGTCACAATTTGAGATGCTCATTTGTTATTTTACTTTAAGCAGCCTCTACATTATAATTTAACAGCATAATGGAATCCCTATTCTAGTTGACAAACACTGTGGTGCAAATGATTTAATTTACTAGCTTAAGCATTAGGCTACATATTATTGTACTGATCAGTCATTGCATACTAAAATCACTCATCCTTAATGTAATGATTTGGTATCCCTACAGAGAATTCCAGTCATCAGAATGTCATTAGATACAGTAAAAAATGAAAATTACTATTACACAGCAGTAAACACTATTAACTGTTAGTTAAAATAGCATTTAATTTAGCCATGCAAGAGTTTACAAATTTCCACAGTTTCCTTGGTCCTCGAATAATTGTCACCACAAAGTTAATGACACTTCTGCCAATGAGATGACAGAATGAGGAGGGACCAATGCTGAACTGGTGTTTTCATGTGGCAGATGCCATATGGTGACAGTGCAGATTGCATGGCTATCTGGGGCATTTCATTGATCAGGAAAGGAAGCACGCTGGTGTCCTGAAAATATAAAGCAGGGTAGAAGGGTTTATGAACCTCCCATATACAGAGGGGCATCAGGCATAGTTGGGAGGAGGAGGAAATGATTCCTTTTGGGCTTCCCTTCTCTTTCTCCATCAGCCCAGGTTTGCACTCAGGGGTTCCAGAGGTCTGCTGCAATGCTGATAACCTGGGGTTGCCATAAAATTCTTACAAGTATCCCTAAGTGTTGGCTCCAATAAGTCACCAGTTGCTAGGGATGGTGGACCTGGTTGGAAAGCGTGTATTTTTGCACAAGGCTCGCCATCCCCACACTTACAGATAGCACCAGCTTAAGTTGCAAAACATGCATTTGCCTTCACATGATCCTTCCCTGTTGCAGCCTGAGTCCAGCATTCCCCAGCTTTAAATAAAATCAGCAGCAACATCTATGATGCCTATAAATGTGGGCACTCTGTGGGTTACTTGGCTCCAGAGCTCGCTCTTTATCCAAGCTATTGTGATTCATTTTCTTGTTTATTCCGTAACTGCATGTTACTGAGTAAAATGTTGAACTTAGATATGGAAAGGGACACCAGGGACCCCTCTGTATATGCAGAAGGCAATAAAAACAGAAAAACAGACTGCACCACTTTCTGCTTTGTGTATGCTTCTCATGCCAACTCGAAAGAAAATGAGAGTTGGAAATGACCAGCCCTGGTAAGGCAATGGTGGAGGAAGGAAATGGTGCCCGGTTTGTGGGATCTTGAAGGAGAGCTCTAGTAAATGCCAATCCTAAATCAATGAAGTGGCAGTAACAGGGCAGGATATGTGTTCGTACAAAGGGTTTCCAGTTTGTAGTGTGGTGCCCGCCAGCCACCTTTCATCAAGAATATGCAATGGAGAATTGCCTGGAAATGGATTCTTTATTACACGTGGCATGGCAGAGTGAAAATACTTGGCAGCCAACAGAGTACTGTGTGTAGGGAGACATAAACACTCCTAGCGAGGTGACAGTGCAGAGGCCTGGGTGGTATATGCTTGGTCCTGCTCCACTGACCACTCACAAATTACACAGAGTCCCATTACCATGGGCCCTGAAATGGTATCATTCAGAGTAATTGCATCTTTTTACCCTAAAAACAAAACAAAACAAAACAGAAACGTGAAGAGATACAAATAAAAGTTACTGCCACTCAATAAGAAAAAAAAAAAAAAAAAGGAACATGCATTTGCTATCCCCATCTGGCTCAGGGATCACCTGAACTTATTTTTCAAAATGCGTGTGTCTATACCAGGGGACAATAGGATTCTTTTGCCACTGCTAGGGTTGAAAGCCCAAGTGTGAATCGTTCATCTGTAAAATGGACACACTTACTTCTGAGTGATTTTGGGGGTCAGAAGACTGAAAGCATTCTTCCAAAAGTGTCACAGTACGAAGGGCTCTGAATTCTTTCCCTTTGCAACTGCCCTCATCCTACCTGTTGAGAAAGTCAATGAAAAGGAGTATGAAAATCATATTGATTGTGACATTTCACCCTGCTAGTAATACTGAGTAGGTCTCGGCTAGAGTCAGAATTTACCCGAGGAGCTTCTTTCTCTTTTGGGGAAGACTGTCCAGGACTGGCCAGAACCAATTCCAACTAGTCTAGCCTGACAGAGTTATAGCACTCGAAAGATCATACATGTCGGCCAGGCACGGTGGCTCACTCCTGTAATCCCAGCACTTTGGGAGGCCAAGGCGGGCGGATCACAAGGTCTCCTGACTTGTGACCATCGAGACCATCGAGACCATCCTGGCTAACACGGTGAAACCCCGTCTCTACTAAAAAATAAAAAAAATTAGCCGGGCGTGGTGGCGGGCGCCTGTAGTACCAGCTACTCGGGAGGCTGAGGCAGGAGAATGGCGCGAATCCGGGAGGTGGAGCTTGCAGTGAGCTGAGACCTCACCGCTGCACTCCAGCCTGGGCGACAGAGCGAGACTCCATCTGAAAAAAAAAAGGATCATACGTGTCTTTGGTTAGGTTTTGACCTATAACAGATGGAAATCCCTTTGCTGCCATATCCCCAACTAAAATTTTCTGTCATGCATTGAATACTCATCAGAAATATGCAGATCCAATGATTCAGTCAAGCCAGGACCAATTTCCGTCTATCTAATGATAGAAAATCAATTGAGAATGAAGAGGGCTTGCAAATAACCCAAACTGTTAATCTTTACTAATTGGTTTTCGATGGTATAAGCCTGACTTACGAGGTGCTTTCTTAGCCTTCAGTATTAATTTAAGTTGTAAAGTGAGCTCAGAAAATAACGCATTTATACATATTATATAATAATGTATTATTTTTTAATGTAGCTTACAAGATAGATGTTTATTATATGAGATAATAAATGTATAAATGCCACAAAAAGTTTAAAGCACAGTATAACAGTTACAGTAAGAAAGAATTATTACTATTTTTTACTGTTAAAGAAAACTGCTTTATAATATAACTGTATAGCAAGGTTAGGCAATGAGTCTACAAATACTTTTTTTTTTTTTTGAGGCAGTGTCTCCTTCTGTCCCCCAGGCTGAGGCTGGAGTGCAGTGGTGCCATCTTGGCTCACTGCAACTTCTGCCTCCCAGGTTCAAGCAACTCTCATGCCCAAAGCCTCCTGAGTAGCTGGGATTACAGGCACGTACAACCATGCCCAGCTAATTTTTGTATTTTTAGTAGAGATGGAATTTCACCACATTGTCCAGGATGGTCTCAAACTCCTGACCTCAAGTGACCCGCCCACCTTGGCCTCTCAAAGTGCTGGGATTACAGGCATGAGCCACTGCACTCAGCCATCTACAAAGATTCTTTTTGTTTTTGTTTTTTGAGATGGAATCTCGCTCTGTTGTCCAGGCTGGAGTGCAATGGCGTGATCTTGGCTCTCTGCAAGCTCTGCCTCCCAAGTACACGCCATTCTCCTGCCTCAGCCTCCTGAGTAGCTGGGACTACAGGTGCCCACCACCATGCCTGATTAATTTTTTTTTGTATTTTTAGTAGAGATGGAGTTTCACCATGTTAGCCAGGATGGTCTCAATCTCCTGACCTTGTGATTGGCCTGCCTCGGCCTCCCAAAGTGCTGGGATTACAGGTGTGAGCCACCCCGCCCGGCCTCCATCTACAAAGATTCTTAACCACATAGAAATGGAAAGAGAAGAGCGCAGACCTGAGAGGGCTACAGACCTGGAATAGCCTGGGCTATTCCAGATTTTCATCTTTTGACCCCATCCTGCTTTTCTTTGTTATTTCCCATGTACTTTCCAGCTAGAGTCCTCCACTCCAGTTGACTTTGTCTCCTTATAGTCCCACAGGACTACTGTATTAGTCCATTTTCATACTGCTATGAAGAAATACCTGAGACCGGGTAATTTATAAATGGAAAGAGGTTTAATGAACTCACAGTTCCACATGGCTGGGGACGCCTCATAATCATGGTGGAAGCTGAAAGAGGAAAAAGGCAAGTCCGATATGGTGGCAGGCAAGAGAGTGTGTGCAGGGAACTGCCCTTTATAAAACCATCAGATCTCATGAGACTTATTCACTATGGAGAACAACATGGGAAAAAACTAGCCTCATGAGTCAGTTACCTCCCACCAGGCCCCTCCCATGACATGTGGGGAGTATAGGAGCTACAGTTCAAGATGAGATTTGGGTGGGGACACAGCCAAACCCTATCAACTGTCTTGGCTCCTCCTGCTCTTCCAGTACCTTCAGCCGATTCCTGCTCCTAAAATGCCTTTCTCTAATCTCTCTGCTTTTCCAAATTTCACTCCTCATAGGAGGCCTCCTTAAATGTCTCCTCCTTCCTAAAGCCTTGCTTGTTTATTAACTCCATCAATATTAATTGACGTCCATTATGGGCTCAGCTCTGTGGGGGACACAGGGATGAATCAGGCATTGGACGTCTACCCAGGGATAACAGTAGCTAACATGGCATTTGCCATATGCCTAGCATGGTTTCAAATGGTTATGAAGATATTAACTCATATGATCTTTAAAATGACATAAGTGCAACTATTCTTTTCTTCATTTTATTTTTATTTTACTATTATTTTTGAGACAGAGTCTTGCTCTGTCTCCCAGGCTGCAGTGCAGTGGTGCAATCTCAGCTCACTGCTACCTCCACCTCCCAGGTCAAGTGATTCTCCTGCCTCAGCCTCCCAAGTAGCTGGGATTACAGGTGCCCGCCGCCATGCCCGGCTAATTTTTGTATTTTTAGTAGAGACGGGGTTTCACTATTTTGGCCAGGCTGGTCTTGAACTCCTGGCCTCGTGATCTACCCGCCTCAGCCTCCCAAAGTGCTGGGATTACAGGCATAAGCCACCGCACCCGGCCCTTTTCTTCATTTTATGAAATGGGAAACTGAGAGGCCTAGAGATTAGGTGACTTGCCTTTGGCCACACAGCCATTAAGTTGCAGACCTGGGGCTTGGAACCCGGCAATCTGCAGAAGGAGTACAAGTATTGACAAATTCATCTGTCTGAGTTCCAAAATAAAGGTTCCGGATGATTCAAAGATTCTTATAAGGCCTGATTTTTCCTGCCACTGGGACCTGGCCTCTATACACCTGGGCTTGCTGGGCCTTGAGGATTTAGGGGGTGGGATAGTGCAGTGGCTCTGGCCACAGTTGGCAGGAGGCCTAGGTTTGGGTTTTTTCTTTTTCTTTTTTCTGAGACGGAGTTTTGCTCTTGTTGCCCAGGCTGGAGTACAATGGCATGACCTCGGCTCACTGAAACCTCTGCCTCCCAGGTTCAAGTGATTCTCCTGCCTCAGCCTCCGGAGTAGCTGGGATTACAGGTGTGCGTCACCACACTTGGCTAATTTTTTTGTTTGTTTGTTTTTTGAGACGGAGTTTTGCTCTCGTTGCCTAGGCTGGAGTGCAATGACGTGATCTTGGCTCACCGCAATCTCTGCCACCCGGGTTCAAGTGATTCTCCTGCCTTAGCCTCCCAAGTAGCTGAGATTACAGGCATGTGCCACCACGCCTGGCTAATTTTGTATTTTTAGTAGAGAGGGGGTTTCTCCATGTTGGTCAGGCTGCTCTCAAACTCCTGACCTCGGGTGATCTGCCCATCTTGGCATCCCAAAGTGCAGGGATTACAGGTGTGAGCCACTGTGCCCAACTGAGGCCCAGGTTTGAATCCCAACTGAGGCCCAGTTTTGAATCCCACTCATTAGCTGTGTAAACCTAGGCTAACAAATTCATCTTTCTGTGCCTCAGTTTCTCATCTGTTAAATGAGAATAATGATGATAATGCGAATACCCTCATTTGTTGTAGGAATTAAATTAGGTGATGTATTTAATAAGCAGAATAGAAGTGCTATATGAGTGTTAAGTATTCATATCACAGAGATGGATGTGTAAAATATTTATTTCTGTATGTGACTCATTTTGTGATGCCTTAAGAAACTTAAATGTTCTGCACTGGAATCGTCTTTTGGACATCTTTGTTGCAAATGCCACAACAAGGCTGTAAATGTGTCACATGGCTCGATTCTGTTTTTAACTGCAATGCAAACTCATTGAACCGTCTTTCACGTTTGACGCTCCATCAGTTGCCTACCTTACACAATTTTCATACAAACATGATTTCCTCTGAGGACATCTGCAACAGACTGGAAGATTTGTTCCCAGCACAAATCTACAAACGTACTCTTTAAGACAGACCCTTTTCCATAGCTCCTGTGATCTTAGTAACATAGAGAACAGACTCATTATGCTCAAGCACAGTCAACAGGAGTTAGTAATTTTATTAGTGTTGTACATGGGTAGATTTCAGCTCAGCAAATGCTTGGGGGAAATAAACTGGAGCCATTTCCTCCCCGGCCCCGCCGAAATTATCTAGAGAAGTTATGGTCTTTGGAAGAAGTGATTGAATCTTTGGGGTGTGAGAGACCTCTGTTGTCTATCTTGTCTCTTTTTCCAGGTTCTTTCCCATTCCCTCCATCACCAGCTAAACAGAATACGATCCTGGTTTCAGTATTCATGACTCTAGAATTTCTTCACAAGGAAAGTGTTTTTTTTTTGTTTGTTTGTTTGTTTTTTGCTGTTTCAAGGAACTTGACATAAGGTAGGTGTATCTTGGGCATTTTCCAAGGGAAAAGGAGGCACTTCTGGAAGTATCTGAAAGTCCTTACTCTCTTACAACATGATTTGGCAATAGGGACCCCAAAGATAGTGTATAATGAATCCATGGAAATGCTATTCGCGTGTAACCAGAATGTTCCCATAACTATTTCATTCACTTTATTTTCTGTTGATGTTTGGTTTTCTTTCTGATAAGGGTGACTTTTCAGACAGTGTTTTTCCAATAGCATTTTTACTCTTGATGCATTTCCCTTGATGAATACATTCTTTGGGAATGGAGTTTCTTTTTTTTTTTTTTTTTTTGAAAATATTGTTTTCAAACAATTGGGGGTCACCTCAGGGGTTAGGGCTTCAACATATAAATTTGGTGAGGGTGGAAGCTGGGGCACAATTCAGTCCATAACAGATATCTTTGTAAAAATTGTACACAGAAAATTGTTAGTAGACAGCAAGAGTTTTAGGGGATAATGGGATGCATGCGATGCTTCTTAGCCTTTAAAGTTCAAAGATCCCCATGAATCCCCTGGGCATCTTTTTTAGATGCAGATTCCAGTCCAGTAGATCTGGGTGTGTCCTGAAATCCTGCATTTCTGGAGCTGAAACAAGCTCCAAGGTGATGGCATTGCTTCTGCTCCATGGACCACACTTTGAGGAACAGGATGTAGGATATATTTGAAATCACACTAGGCATTGGGTATTCTGGAAGTATGAAAACACAGGGCCTTTGAGATGTTAAAATTATTGACAAGGTTGGGTCAGGCAGAAGAAAGGAGAATGTAATAGGAAGAAAGAATGATAGCCCTGGGAGAGTCTGGAGTTGACTAGATGTGAGTAGGTTGGTGACTTGTGGGCATCGAGTTCTGTCCTCTTCTGACTGTGGATTCTGTTCTGTCCTGAGCAGGGCCTTTGCTGGGGCTGTCTGGGCGGAGGTCTTTCCATTAGGGACTGGGGATGGGGAGAAGTCCAGGAACAGAATGAGGGGCAGTGATGTGGTTTGGCTCTTTGTCCCCACCCAAATCTCATCTCGAATTCTAATCCACACATGTCGAGTGAGGGAGGTGATCGGGTCATGGGGGCAGTTTTCCCCATGCTGTTCTGGTGATAGTGAGTTCTCATGAGAGCTGATGGTTTTTAAAATGTTTGGCAGTTCCTCATTCATTCACTCACTCTCACCTGCCACCATGTAAGATGTGCCTTTTCTTCTTCTTTGTCTTCCACCATGATTGTAAGTTTCCTGAGGCCTCCGCAGCAATGTGGAACTGTGAGTCAATTAAACCTTCTTGGGTAGTATCTTTATAGCAGTGTGAAAACAGACTAATACAGGCAGGGATTGGGGATGGTGGGCAGTCTATTTCACACATTACTTGATAATTTAAAATTGTTAAGCATTTTTCTGGTGGTTCATATGATCATGTCACAATGTTCCCACATGGAGTGCATGGGTCAGCGTCAGTGTGGCCATGTCAGAGTGTCTTCCTCTGCTGCAGCAGTACCAATGGGCTGTTGCAATGCCCCCAAAGCCTCCAGCCAAGCCCTGTCTATTGTCCTCCTCTATTCTTCTCTGTCTTGTGTCTTTCTCTATGCCCTCAATTCCCAGATTTATGTTTTATGATCTTGTCATGTTTGGTATCAGCTTGTATTTAATGATGTGTTTATGTCCCTGACACCCTAAACTATACCCCTCTGCTGCCTAAATTACGTCTATCCCTGGCTGAGCAGTTTATGAAGGCAAAGAGTATCTGGGGACAGCATTCTCTTTATTAAAAGAGGTGTTGCCATAAATGTTAGCACTGCTTGATCTGCTTTACTTAAACAATATTTTCTTGTTATTTCTAAGTTTAGGGTCTGATTTTCCCAATTTGTGTTTGTTAGAATTATCCTCTGGGTCCACCTTAAAAACGACATCTATTAATCAAAATGTTATTTTTTTTTTAAACCTCTCTCTGTGTGTTTTCAGTGTATTGTTGAAAGATAAGAGAGAAGGAATTATCAATAGAATGAAGAAAATTCAAAAAATTTAACTTTACCAAGGTGAAGCTTATAGGCTAAAAAAACAGAATTAGGAAAGCAAAATGTAAAAAGAAGTAGTGATAAAGAGAAACCAGAAGGCCAACATTAAGTTTGAAAATCAATTCTTACTAATAACAGGAAGGAAAAAGAAAACATACCAATTGATATTTAAAATTTACTTATATCTCTTAGAGATATTTAAATTGAAGTCCTTAATACAGTATGGAGCATAAATAGGTGCTAAAGAAATGTTAGCCACTATTATGATTATTCTGACAATCTGAATTTACAGCAGAATCAGTAATATCAGTGGTTATCAATTATTTATGCAAATGAAGATCCAGGCATGGTGTTAAGCACTTTAAATTCATTACTGTGACCTTTTTAACAACCTTATGGGGGCATTATTTTACTGTCATCCTATGTGTTTTTATCTCAGACATTGCTTTTCATCTCTAGAAGTTTCACTGGGGACTTTTTTTTTTCATATGTATCTATAAGGTCTCACTCTGTCACCCAGGCTGGAGTGCAGTGATTCAATCATGGCTCACTGCAGCCTCTATCTCCCAGGCCCAGATGATCCTCCCACCTCCCAAGTGTCTGGGACTACAGGTGTGCACCACCATGCCTGGCTAATTTTCGTATTTTTGGTAGAGATGGGGTTTTGCCCTGTTGCCCAGGCTTGACTGGGGACTTCTTAATATTGTTTCTCCTGCCATGTTTTTTGGCATGCTTATGTTTTCCTCTGCCTTCTTGAGTGTACTGTATAGAATATAGTTTCAACAACCATTTTAATATTCTTGTCTATTAATTTAGTCCTTAGTATCATTTCTGGGCCAGGTTTAATAGATTTTTTTTCCTGATTATGGGTCATAGTTTCCTGCTTATTTACATGCCTGGTAATTTTCGATTGGATCTGTGACATTGTGATTCTACCTTGTTGGATGCTGAACATTCTTTTTTATTTTAAATAATCTTGAGCTTTGTGCTGGGATGTAGGTAAGATACTCAGAAACAGTTTCGTCCTTTTGAGGCTTGCTTTCAAACTCTGTAGGCAGAACCAGAGCAGTCTCGAGTCTAGGTTAGCTTTTTCCCACTATGGAGGCAACACCCTTCTGACATGCTATCCAGTGCTCTGTGTATTATGACGTATTTCTACTCTGGCAGGTGGAAACTTGAACTATTTCAGGAAATGTGTGAGCTCCTAGGTTTGCTCAGCCTGCTTCTTTTGAGTGGTTCTTTCCTGACCTCTAATAGTTTCCCCATAGGCATGCACTAGTTGATACTTAGCTAAAGTCTCCTTGCTTCCTTCCCTCCTTCCCTCGTTCTTCCCCGCTTCCTCCCTTCCTTCCTCCCTTTCTCCCTCCCTTTCTTCTTTCCTTCCTTTCTTTTCTTTCTTTTTGAGATGGGGTCTCACTCTGTCACCCAGGCTGGAGTGCAGTGGAATGATTATGGCTTACTGCAGTCTTGACCTCCCAGGCTCAAGTGATCCTCTCATCTCAACCTCCTGAGTAACTGGGATCACAGGCATGCACAACCACACCTGGCTATTTTTTGTATTTGCTTGTTTGTTTGTTTGTTTTTGAGACAGAGTCTCGCTGTGTCACCAGGCTGGAGTGCAGTGGTGCAATTTTGGCTCACTGCAACCTCCACCTCCCGGGTTCAAGAGATTCTCTTGCCTCAGCCTCCCGGGTAGCTGGGACTACAGGCACATGCCACCACACCCAGCTAATTTTTGTATTTTTAGTAGAGATAGGGTTTCACCATGTTGGCCAGGATAGTCTCGAATTCCTGACCTTGTGATCTGCCTGCCTTGGCCTCCCAAAGTGCTGGGATTACAGGCGTGAGCCACCACACCCAACCTGTATTTTTTTTTTTTTTTTTTTTTTTTCTTTTTGGAGACATAGGATTTCACCATGTTTCCCAGCCTGGTCTCAAATCCCTGAATTCAAGTGATCTGCCTGTCTCTGCTTCCCAAAGTGCTGGCATTTCAGGTGTGAGCCACTGCACCCTGCCTCATCTTCTTATTAAACATTTATTTATGAGAGAAATTTAAAAGAAAAACAGAATTAGGTCTAAAAATTACAGGTCATAAGCACATCTGTAATGTGGATTTGCCACAGGTGTTCATGGCACATAGGTGATAGTTGAGGAATAGAACAGTAAGCTTTACCTTATGTAAAATTTGCTTGCCAGCAGTAATTCTACCCCTTTCTCTCCATTCAAGGAAACATCAAGACAAAAAAGAATGACATTACAATAGGGATAACCAAAGATCTCCTCTAGTTTCAAAGTTAAAAATAAAGTCAATTCCTCTGGTACTTAAAATGACAATACACCATTACTGTGTTGCTGGGATGAGGGAGCTGCTAGCCCCAACTTTAGCTGTAGGACTTGATGCAAAGTTAAATTTTGTCATTGTATTAATTTGCTAGGGCTACCTTAACAAAGTCACAGACTGGGTGGCTTAAATAACAGAAACATTTTCTCACAGTTTGGGAGGCTGGAAGTCCAAGATCAAGGTGTCAGTAGGGTTGGTTCCTTCTCAGGCCTCTCTCCTGAGTCTGCAGATGGCCTTCTCCTTCTCCTTTTTCTTTTCTCTTCTTCTTCTTCTTCTTCTTCTTCTTCTTCTTCTTCTTCTTCTTCTTCTTCTTCTTCTTCTTCTTCTCTCTCCTCCTTCTTCTTCTTCTCTCTTCTCCTTCTTCTTCTTCTCTCTTCTCCTTCTTCTTCTTCTGCTGCTGCTGCTTCTTCTTCTTCTGCTTCTTCTTCTTCTTCTGCTGCTGCTGCTGCTTCTTCTTCTTCTTCTTCCACTTCTTCTCCTTCCCCTTCTTCTCCTTCCCTTTCTTCTCCTCCTCCTTCTTCTCCTTCTCGTCCTCCTCTTCTTCCTCCCCTCCCTCCTTCTCCTCCTCCTCCTCCCTCTTCTTCTTCTTCTTCTTCCTCTTGTTCTACCCATCTTCTTGCTGTGTCTTTACATAGTCTCTGCTGTGTGTATCTGTGTCCTAATTGCCTCTTTTAATAAAAATACCAGCCCTATTGGATTTGGGCCCTCCAATGACCTCATTTTAACTTAGTTACCTCTTTAAAGACCCCATCTCCAAATACAGTCACATTTTGAGATACTGGGAGTTAAATCTTCAACATATAAATTTTGGGAGAACACAGTTCAGCCCTTAACAGTCATTAATATCTGGAAAAGTTAGGCAGGCTATTGAAACTTTCTGGTCTTCAACCTGCCCCTCTAACCAACATAGTTCCTTTATAGAAGGCTGACTGGTTTGTAAATCTGCACTTATTAAGGACTGGGCTGGCTCATTCAGGCCATTAAGCTGTTTCATCACTGTTTTGGCCTGCTTCTGTGGTCAGTAAAAAAAAAAAAAAAAAAAAAAAAAAATATATATATATATATATATATATACACACACACACATTTGTGTATATATTTATATATATACACACGTATATACACACACATATATATACATAGACATATATAAAACATATTTGACTTCTCCCTTTATTACTCCAAAAATATACTGTAATTTTGATTTTTGGCTTTGTACTTATTTTAACCACATCTACAAATGTAGCTCATAAACATTAGTGAACATAAATTTGTATTCAAAAATCTATTTATATATATTTATTACTTTTTTTTTAAACCATTTTGAAGGTACATCAACAAGTAAAGGGATATTTCTGTTGTTCTTCCACATAAGATAAATCGGTATTTCCAGGGCACGAAGACCACTCTCTTAGCCAGTGGAGTCTCCTGGTGTACTCAGCAATACCCTTGTGCTTGGGAGGGGTTCATCCATCCCAAGTCAGGGAGCAACTTATTTCTGGTCATTTTCTTACCTACAATCAGCTGAGGAGCGTGTGCAGTGCTGAGCATGCAAAGGATTTTGCAGGGAAGCTCCAGCAGCTCCCTGGTCTCCTTCATTCACCCTGGTGCGTGGTATTCCATAGGAACTGCAGCTAGATGCGGCAGGGCATGAGACGGCAGGACCAGCAGAGAAGCTGCCCCGAAGTGCTTTTGTCAGAAGCCCTCTGACTGCCAGCATACCCCAAACATCAGGGCCAAGTAGGACAGTGTGGAAGCCTTTCTCAGTGACATAGCATACCGAAGTACCTGTGACCCTGGGCTTCTTATTTTACAATTTTCATTTTGGGTGGGTCAGGAAGAAAATGAGATCTATTTACTGTGAGATGGAATTTGGCTATGCCTCCCATCTCTGGTAGGCGGTTTTCTTTGTGAATCTGCATATCTTATTTATTTCTGCAACATATTTGAATTTTGACTTTATTACTCTGAAAATATACTGTAATCCTGATTCCTGGTTGTGTATTTATTTAAACCACATCTACAAATGTAGCTCATAAACATTAGTGGAAATGAATTTACATTCTAAACTCTATTAATCTAACCCTACTCATTATATAAGTGAACCAATAAATAGCAAATAAATCAAATTATGTGAAACAATAAAAAAATTAACCAGTATCATTTAAATAATTACCATCACTAACAGTCATGACAAAGCCTAACAAATTAACACTTTAAGGATGTTCTCATTTTGGTCCCATCCTTATAGAAATAGCAGCAGACTTCAAATGGATTTTGGAAACCATTTGAGGAAAACAATGGAAACCAAGGTTGTTTGGGCCTGAGTTTTTCCAGTCTCCCAAGGATGCTAAATATTTAAATCTCTGAAGGAAGGTGGATCTTCTTGAGTCCAGGCTTGGGTTCTCTGAGTTATTCTCCTGTCTCTTGGTTTCATGGGTCAGAGGACCTCGTGGCCAAAGGTCTGACAAGGTCATTTTCTTTTTCTTTTTTTTTTTTTTCTCTTCTTAGGAGATTGCTGATTTATTTTTATTTTTTAACTTTTATTTAAAGTTCATGGGTACATGTGCAGGATGTGCAGGTTTGTTACATAGGTAAATGTGCATCATGGGGATTTGTTGTATGGATTATTTCATCATCCAGGTATTAAGCCTAGTATCCATTACTTATTTTTCCTGATCCTCTCCCTTCTCTCACCCTCTACCCTTCAAGTGGCCCCAGTGTGCATTGTTTCCCTCTATGTGTCCATGTGTTCTCATCACTTAGCTCCCACTAATAAGTGAGAACATGTGGTATTTGGTTTTTTGTTCCTGCATTAGTTTGCTAAGGATAATGCCTCCAACTCCATCCATGTCCCTGCAAAGGACATGATCTGGTTCTTTTTTATGGCTGCATAGCATTCTATGGTGTATATGTACCACATTTTCTTTATCCAGTCTGACACTGATGGGCTTTTCAGTTGATTCCATGTCTTTGCTACTGTGAATAGTGCTGCAATGAACATACGCATGCATGTGTCTTTATAATAGAATGATTTATATTTCTTTGGGTATATACCCAGTAAAGAAATTGCTGGGTCTAATGGTATTTCTGCCTCTAGGTCTTTGAGGCATTGCCACACTCTCTTCCACAATGGTTGAACAAATTTACACTCTCACAACAGTATCTAAGTGTTCTCTTTCTCCACAGCCTCACCAGCATGTGTTATTTTTTTGACATTTTAGTAATTGCCAATCTGACTCGTGTGAGATGGTATCTCATTGTGGTTTTGATTTGTATTTCTCTAATGATCAATGATGTTGAGCTTTTTTCATATGATTGTTGGCCACGTGTATGTCTTCTTTTGACAAGACAGCAGGGGGACCATCAGCTCTCCTGACCTCATGATCCACCCGCCTCAGCCTCCCAAAGTACTGGGATTACAGGCGTGAGCCACCCTGCCCGGCCAACTCTCAAATCAGGGTTTGTTCTCTTGCTTGGCCATTTCTCAGCTGAGTGATTTTAACTTCTCCAGGCTTCAAGTTCTTCGTCTATAAAATTGGAATATTGACAAAATGTACCTGGAAACGATGCAGTGAGACAACGAATGGCAAGCACTTCACTGCTGGCTATTGTAAGTGTTCAGTAAATGGTCGATTCTACTACCATGATTATTACTACCACATCCCTGAAATGTATATATTTATTCTTCTCCCTGCATTTTTTTTTTGCTTTTTGTTTTAGTTCCTTTTGACACTCTGCTTTGTTCTTGGGACATAAGGATGTTTGTGTATATGTGTGTTTGTGCACTTCAATATTTTGATGCATTTCTATGATACTTGAAATGGAGGGAGAATCAATTCTAAATAATCTATCTAACTTCCCATCAAGTAGAAATATAACACCTTTTCAAAGACTTTTCATCTCTACTTCCTGCCAGTGCCTTCTCCTATTTCATTTTTTAGCTTAATTCATTTTACTTAATACTCATATATACCAATTATTATGTAGCAGCCACAGTTATTATGTTTTTAAATTGAACTTCTTATTTTAGGATACCTGTAGATTCACATGCAGTTGTAAAAAACAATGCAGAGATCCCATGCACCCTTTATTCAGTTTCCTCCAGCGGCAACATCTTGCAAAACTATAGTACAGTATCACAATCAGAATATTGACACTGATATAGTCAAGATAGAGAACATTTCTGTCATCAAAAAGGCCCCTCCTGCTGCTCTGTTATAGCCAGACACACTTCCGTCCTTTCCCTCTCTCTTCTAACCTCTGGCATGCACTAAACTGTTCTTTACTTGCATAATTTTGACAAAATTATAATAAATCAGATCATACAGGGCTGGGTGCAATGGCTCACACCTGTAATCCCAGCACTTTGGGAGGCCGAGGTGGGTGGATCACCTGAGGTCAAGAGTTAGAGACCAGCCTGGCCAACATGATGAAACCCTGTCTCTACTAAAAAGACAAAATTAGCTGGGCATGGTGGCCTGCACCTGTAATCCCAGCTACTAGGGAGGCTGAGGCATGAGAATCACTTGAACCTAGGAGGCGGAGGTTGCAATGAGCTGAGATTGTGCCACTGCACTCCAGCCTGGGCAACAGAATGAGACTCTGTCTCAAAAAAAAAAAAAATTAAATCAGATCATACAGTATGTAACCTTTTAGCACTGTTTTTTTTTATCTTTCACTCAGCGTAATCCTTCAGTGGTTTTGCATGTAGCAACACACATACTTATATTGACATATATGTGAGTATACATATATGAATAGTATTCCATGATATGGATTGGCTACAGTCTGTTGAATCATTAATCTGTTCAAGGACATCTGGATTGTTTCCAGTTTTTAGCTATTATAAATAAAGCTGCTCTAAACATTTGTCTAAAGCTTTTTCCTTTTATTTTCCTCCAGAATAAATGCCCAGAGTTCGATCGTGTGGTATTTGCATATTTAAAGAAACTGCCAAGCGGCTTTCCAGAGGGACTGTACTATTTTACATTCCCACAGCGATGCATGAATAATCCAGTGTCTCTGCAACCTCACCAGCATTTGGTGTTGTCACTATTTTTTATCTTAGCCATTTTAATAGGTGTGTAATGATATCTCATTATGGTTTTAAGTTGCATTTTCCTAATCACTAATGATGGTGAACATCTTTTCATGTGCTTATTTGCCATCTGATATGGTTTGGCTGTGTCCCCACCTAAATCTCAACTTGAATTGTATCTCCCAGAATTCCCATGTGTTGTGGGAGGGACCCAGGTGGAGGTACTTGAATCATGGGGGCTGGTCTTTCCCGTGCTATTCTTGTGATAGTGAATAAGTCTCACGAGATCTGATGGGTTTATCAGGGGTTTCCGCTTTTGCTTCCTCCTCATTTTTCTCTTGCTGCCACCAGGTAAGAAGTGCCTTTCATCTCCCACCATGATTCTGAGGTCTCCCCAGCCATGTGGAACTGTAAGTCCAATTAAACCTCTTTTTCTTCCCAGTCTGAGGTATGTCTTTATCAGCAGCCTGCAAACAGACTAATACACCATCTGTATATTCTCTTCTCTGAAATGTCTCTGCATATCTTTTGCTCATTTTCTAACCTGATTGCTCAGTTTTTGTTTTTAAGTGTTGAGTTCTGAGAGTTCTTTATTATTCTAAATTCTAAGCTTCTGTTGGATATGTGGTTTGTGATATTATTTTGTAGTATTTCTCCCAGGCTGTAAATGTTTTTCCATCCTTCCATCCTTTGTTATTTTTTTCTTTCTTTTTTGAGATGGAGTCTCGCTTAGTTACCCAGGCTGGAGTGCAGTGGCAGGATCTTGGCTCACTGCAAGCTCCGCCTCCTGGGTTCATGCCATTCTCCTGCCTCAGCCTCCTAAGTAGCTGAGACTACAGGCGCCCGCCACCACGCCCGGCTAATTTTTTTTTTTTGTATTTTTAATAGAGACGGGGTTTCACCATGTTAGCCAGGATGGTCTCGATCTCCTGACCTCATGATCCACCTGCCTCGGCCTCCCATAGTGCTGGGATTACAGGTGTGAGTCACTGCACCTGGCCACTTTCCATCCTTTCAACAGAACCTTTCACAGAGCAAAAGTTTAAATATTGATAAAGTCCAATTTATTTTTTTTCCTTTTATGGGTTGTGCTTTTGGTGTCAAGCCTAAGAATTCTTTGCATAACCTGAGCTCCTGAAGATATTCTCTAAAACTTTTATAGTGTGAGCCCATGATCTTTTCAAGTTAATTTTGGTATAAGATGTGAGGGTTAGGTTGAGGTCGTATTTATCCCTACGGTTAGCCACATGCTCCTGCAGTATTTGTTGAAAAAGTGATCTTTCCTCCATGGAGATGCTTTTGCACCCTTGCCCCAAATCACCTGGACATATTTGTGTGGATCAATTTCTGGGTTCTCTGATCTGTTCCATTGATCCATGTGTCTGTCCCTCCACCAGTACTACACAGTGGTGATTACTGTAGCTATATCAAGTCTTGAAATGGGAAAGAATGATTCCTCTGACTTCATTGTTCTTTTTATTTTTATTTCTTTTTTTTTTTTTTTTGAGACAGAGTCTCCCTCTGTCGCCCAGGCTGGGGTACAGTGGCACGATCTCGGCTCGCCGCAAGCTCCGCCTCCCAGGTTCACGCCATTCTCCCGCTTCAGCCTCCCGAGTAGCTGGGACTACAGGCGCCCACCACCACGCCTGGCTAATTTTTTTGTATTTTTAGTAGAGATGGGGTTTCACCGTGTTAACTAGGGTGGTCTCTATCTCCTGACCTCATGATCCGCCCGTCTCGGCCTCCCAGAGTGCTGGGATTACAGGCGTGAGCCACCACACCCGGCCTGTTCTTTTTCAAAATTACTTAAACTATTCTAGATCCTTTGCCTTTCTATATAAATTTTGTTGTACTCTTGTCTATATTTACCAAAAATCTTGCTGGGATTTTTGATGGGAATTGTGTTAAACTTTTTGGTGGGTTGAATATCATCTTCCTGAAATTCATGTCCACTCAGAACATCAGAATATGAACTTATTTGGAAACAAACCATATTTGATATGGTTTGGCTCTGTGTCCCCACCCAGATCTCATATTGAACTGTAATCCCCAAAGTTGGAGGTGGGGCCTGGTGGGAGGTGATTCAGTTGTGGGGTGGTTTCTATTGGTTTAACATCATCCTCCTGGCGCTGTTGTTATGATAGAGTTCTAACAGGATCTGGCTGTTTAAAAGTGTATAGCACCATCACCTTAACTCTCTTCCTCTTGCTCCAGCCACGTAAAACATGCCTGCTTCCCTTTTGCCTTCTGCCATGATTGTAAGTTTCCTGAAGCCTCCCCAGCCATGCTTCCTGCACAACCTGCAGAACCAGGAGCCAAATAAGCCTCTTTCTTTTTAAAAAAAATATAAATTACCCAGGATCAGGTAGTTCTTTATAGCAATGCAAGAACAGACTAATATGGCATCTTTGTAAATGTAATTATTTAACCTAAAATGAGGTCATATTGGATTAGGGTGGGCACTGTATCCAGTGACTGGTGTCCTTATAAGCAAGACACATAGGGAAGAAGGCCATGTGAGGATGAAGGCAGAGACTGGAGTTTTGCTGCCACAAGCCAAGGAAGACCAAGGATTTCTGGCAGCCACCAGAAGCTGGGAGAGAGGCCAGGAACAGATTTGTCCCTCAGAGACCTCAGAAGGAAGCAGTCCTGCTGATCCCTTTATTTCAAACTCCTGGCTTCCAGAACTGTGAGAGAAAAAAATTCTCTTGTTTTAAAATACTCAATTTGTAGAAACTTGTTTCAGCAGCCTTAGGAAAGTAACATAAACTCATATCAATTTGGGGAGAACTGACATCTTTATTATGCTGAGACTTCCAATCTGTGAAGAGCATATGTCTCTTCCTTTATTTATAACATCTTTGATTTCTTAAATCAGTGTTTCGTGGTTTTCAGCATACAAAATCCCATACATGTGTTGGACATACACATAAGTATTTTTATTTTATTTTTTTAGAGCAATTGTAAATGGTCTTGTATTTTTAATTTCAGTGTCCACCTGTTCATTGCTAGTATGTAGAAATATGATTGATTTTATATGTTTATCTTATTTTCTGGACCTATCTGACTCATTTATTAGTTCTATGAGTTTTTTGTTTGTTTGAGACAAAGTCTCACTCTGTTACCCAGCCTGAAGTGCAGTGGTGCAATCACGGCTCACTGCAGCCTTGAACTCCTGGGCTTAAGCAATCCTCCTGCATCAGCCTCCCAAGTAGCTGAGACTATAAGCTATGCCATCATGCTTGGCTAATTTTTTTTTTTTTTTTTGTAGAGATGGGGTCTTGTTCTTTTACCCAGGCTGGTCTTGAACTCCTAGGCTCAAGTGATCCTCTCACCTCCACCTTCTACCATACTCAGCCTATTTCTATGATACATTTGTACATTTCTTAGGATTTTCTATGTAGACAATTAAGTTTTCTGCTAGTTTTGTTTTGTAGTTTAATTTCTTCCTTTTGATATATATATATATATATATATATATATGCCTTTATTTCCTTTTCTTACCTTATTGCACTGGCTAGAACTTCTAACATTATGGTGAATAAGAAAGATGAAAGTGGACATCCTTGCCTTGTTTCAGCTCTTAGGAGGAAAGCATTGTCTTTCATTATTGAATATTAGCTGTAGTTACTGTTATAAATGTTCTTTATGAATTTGAAGAGGTCCTACTCTATTCCTATTTGTCTGAGTGTTTTAATCAAGAATTGGTGTTTATTTTGTCATAGATGTTTTCTGCATTAAAAATATAATCATGTAATTTTTCTTCTTCTTTTTTTTTCTTTAGCTTGTTTGATTGATTTTCAAATATTGATCCAGCTTTGCATCTCTGGAAAGAATCTCACTTGGTCATGGTATATACTTTCTTTTCATATTGCTGAATTCTATTTGCAAACATTTTGTTAAGGAATTTTGTGTCTATATTCATGAGGGCTATCAGTCTGTGGTTTGCTTTTTTTCATAATAGTCTTTGGTTTTGGCATCAGGGTAATATCAGCTTCATAAAATGAATTGGAATGAATTCCCTCTTATTCTATTTTTTTGTAAATGTTTTGCAGAATTTGTTTTAATTCACCTTTAAATGTCTGGCAAAATTCACCCACAAAGTTGTTTGAGCCTGGAGGTTTTTATTTTGGGAACGTTTAAATCACAAATTCCATTTTCTTAATAGTTTTAAAACTATTCAAATTATTTGTTTCATGTTGAATGAGTTGTGGTACTTTATACTTTTAAAGAATTAGTTCATTTCACCTAAGTCTTCAGATGTATGTGTTAAAGTTGTTGGTAGTATACCCTTCTTATACTTTTGATATTTGTAGGATTCTGTCAAAGACAAAAAATTATTCTTGACATTTGTTAAAGAATGATAAGGCAGATTATTCAAAGGGGGCTACTACAATGGAGTTTTGTAATAGGAGACAGAGATCAGGCTCAATTCTGAATACGACAGGACAAGTGGAGATTTATAGCCCTGGGAGCAGGGTGAGGAGTGGAGGGGGGAGGTCAGTAGATGGAAAATTACTAGGAGGAATCATCAGGGTTAAGGAGGATTCTGGCTAAACTGACTTGACAGAATTATTGCCGAAGGCATGCCAGAGTGATAAGATATTATTATGGGTAGGGGATAAGGAATTTGATCAGCTATTATGGGTGGGGGATTTTCCCTAAACTGACCCAGCTGGATTCTTGCTAAAACTGGACTAAACACGGATGAGCACAGAAGCCCCAATATTAGGGCCTAGTCAAGAAGAGAGTTCATAGGAGCCTGACTATAGTTAGTTAGGTCAAGGAAGAGAGGCTTTCTCAGTCTATAGTGATAGCCCCTATTTCATTCCTCATACTAGTAATTTGTGTCTACTTTCTTCTATTCTTTATCAGTCTTTCTAGAATTTTGTCAACTTTATCAACCTTTTCAAAGAATCCTCTCTCTTTTTAAATTAATTTTTAAAAATTTTTCTGGTTTCAATTTTACTGATTTATGCTCTATTGTTTCTTTCCTGCTTTGGGTTTATTTTTTATCTTTTTCAAGGTTCTTGGGGTGGGAGCTTAGAAAATTCACTTGAGGCTTTCACTGTTTCAATGTATGTATTTAGTGATGTAAATTTACTTCTCAGCACTGCTTTAGCTGTGTTCCACACATTTTGATATACTTTATTTCATTTTCATTCAGTTTAATGTATTTTTAAATTTTCTTAATGTTCTCAAGACATTCCTTTTGACTCAAGACATTCCTTTTGACCACAGAAGTATGATGTTTCATTTCCAAGTGCATTGAGATTTCCCTATTACTGATTTCCAGTTTGATTCCATTGTCCAGAGAATGCATGCTGAATGACTTCAATTCCTCCAATCTGTGGAGGTATGTTTTATGGCCCAGGATACGATCTATCTTTATGTACCTTCCCTGGACACTTGAAGAGAATGTGTATTCTGCTATTCGTGGGTGCAATATTTTATCAATGTTGATTGGATCCTGTCGTTTGACAGTGTTACTGAGTTTCCTATATTCTTGTTGAATTTTTTTGTTTAATTGCCCTCTGAACAGTTGAAAGAAGATGTTGAGTTATCAAACAATACTTGTGGATTTGTCTGTTTCTCCTTTCAGTTTTATAAGTTTTTGCTTCACATATATTGTAGCTTTGTTGTTTGGTACACATGCACTTAGCATAGCCATGCCTTCATGGTAAATTTACCCTTTTTATCATTATAGAAGGTCTTTTTTTGTCTTTGATAATTTTATTGTTTTTTTGCTTTCAAGTTTACTTTATCTGATAGGAATACAGTCACTGCTGTTTTATTTTGATTAATGTTTGCAGGGAATATCATTTTCCATCTTTATTTTCAACTGCCTATATTTTTGTATTTGAAGTGAGTTTCTTGTAGAAAGCATATAATTGGGTCACGTCTTTCATCTACTCTGCCAATATTTGTCTTTTAATTGGTATATTTAGACTACTGAAATTTAATGTAATTATTGATATGTTAGGGCTTAAGTCTGCTGGGTTTTTTGTTTGTTTGTTTTTGGTTTGTTCTATTTTTTATTTTTCTGTTTCCTTTTCCCTGCCCTCCTCTGCATTACTTGAACATTTTTTAGAATTCCATTTGGATTTACCTATAATATTTTGAATGTATCTCTGTGTATATATTTTTAGTGGTTTCTCTCAGTATTGCATTCTATGTGTATAACTTATTGTAGCCTGCTGATGTTATCATTTTACTGGTTTGAGAAAAGTACAAGAAAGTTGCATCTCTTTATATTTCTTTAGCATTCCTCTTTACAATAGAATTGTCTTATATATTTCCTCTACAAACATTTAGTACCATATGAGACAGTGTTATAATTTTTGCCTCAACTGTCAGACATAATTCTGAAGATGCGAGGAAAGCGTATTGTATTTACTCATATTAATACTTACTGTGTTCTTTCTTCCTCACTGTTTGTTGGTTTCCTTTCTGCTTAGAGAACTTCCTCTAGCCATTCTGTTAGGGTAGATCTGCTGGTGAAAAATTATCTTAATTTTTCTTCATCTGTGAATTTCTTGATTTCCCTTTCATTTCTGAGGGACATTTTTGATAGTTATAGAACTCTGATAGACAATTCTTTTCTTTCAGCACTTGTAAAATGTCATGCCACTTTATTCTGGCCTCCATGATTTCTGATAAGAAATATGTTGTCTTTGAATTATTTATCCACCTATAAGTAAGGCACTCTTTCTCTCATGCTGCTTTCAATCATTTTTATTTGTTTTTAGTTTTCTGAAATTTGACTTCGATATGTCTTGGTGTCAATTTCTTTGGGTTTATCCTGTTTGAGAAAGTTGGGAAGTTTTCAGGCATTATTTCATTTTTAACTCTACCCTCTTTCTCCTTATTGTCTGAGACTCTCTTAACACAAAATGTTGTGAGAGTTAACATACATGTTAACTCTTGGTTATAGTCCCACAGATTTCTTAGTCTCTGTTCATTTCCTTTTTCCAGCCAATTTTTTGTTGTTGTTGTTGCTGTTCAGTTTGGGTAACTTCCATTGTTCTATTTCGGTTCTCCAATTCTTTTCTGTATCTCTCTCATTCTGTTATTGAGCCTATGCAATGAGTTTTCTACTTGGGTTATTGTGTTTTTCAGTTCTAAAACTTCCATTTGGGTTTCATTTATATTTTCTATTTGCTTGCTGAGTATTCGCTGAGTATTCTATTTCTTACTGAAATTTCCTACAACTTCATCTGTTCCAAGTGTGTTTATTATTGCTTATTAGAGCATTTTATGATGGCTGCTTTAAAATTGTCATCAGGTAATTCTAACACCTCCATCACCTTGATGTGATCTGTTGGTTGTCTTTTCTTCATTCAATTTGAGACCTTCCTATTTCTTGGTATGATGCATGATTTTCAGTTGAAACCTTGACATTTTTTGGTAGTATGTCATGAGACTCTGGATCTTATTTCAACATTCTGTTTTGAGTGGCTTCTTCTGACACTCTGTGACAATAGGTGTAGGGGTGACTCCTTCTGTCATATAGGGGAAGAAATCTAGAGGGTCCTTGTTAGTGCTGACTGAGACTGGGTGTTTCAGCTCCCCACTAGGCATCCACTGAGAGCTCTGTGGTGGGGAGCATAGCAGTGCCTTGTTACTGTCCCTGTGGCCTCCACTCACATTACGTCCTGATAGAGATGAATGTTCCAGCTCCCTATTTGGCCTTCTCTGAGGCCTACTATCCTTGTAGGTATGTTTGGGCACTTGTTACACCCTTGTGAGAGTGGAAGTCTAGGCTTTCCACCTGGCCTTTGCTGGTGTGGGTGTGGTAGGGCTTCAGGTGTTCTGTAGGGTTTCACTGGAGTAGAATGACTACCATCTGCAAGTTTTTCTGTCTTGTTAGGCTGTTCTTCCTTTCCTGGTTCTTGAGGTTTTTGTTTGTTTGTTTTTCCTGTGCTTGTTGGAATTTCTGGGTTGACTGCTTAGCTCCAAATCTACGATTTAGGAGGCAAAAATAAAACTTATGGAATTCAACACTATATTATTCCTTGTGTCCTTAGGTTTCCAGCTGGTCTGCTTTCTTCTTTTTATCTTTCAGAGCCTTCTTACATTTCTTTTATATGTAATGCCCAGGTTCTGTAGTTGTACTTAGCAAGAAGAATAGAAAAAATTATGTCTACTTCATTTACCTAGAAGTAGAAGTTGTAATTGGCTCCTCCTGTTTTAAGGAAAATGTCAAGTCCTTCAAAATTTTTCATTTTTCACTTCAGTATTTCTTTTCATTAAGTTTGTCTTCATTTTTTCTATTGCCTCAGCAGAAGAAATTCTACTTTAGTTCTCTGAAGTGATAGTCTTCCAGGCCATTACATTTCCTCTTGTTTGCTCTGAAAAACTTGCTCCTCCAATTATCTCTTCCTACTTGTGTCTTCAATCTTTTATTTTATTTTTATTTATTTGTTTTTAAACTTTCCCCCCCCCCATACTGCCTTGTCTAAGAATCTGCAATCTTATTTGATAAATACTCTCCTTCAGTTTGAGGGACACTTGTCTTAAAGAAACTGACCTTTGACCTGTTCTTTCCTAAGACAGTCTCCTATTTTTTTCCTTCTCCTAAAGGCCAGTGTTCTTGAAAGCATCATCTGTATTCTCTCTTCCACTGATTTATCATCCTCTCCACCCTTACTTCCTAGTAGTTGGTTTACTGACCTTACCAGTCTATGGAAATTGCATTTTAAAGGTCACCAATCATTTCCTGGTGATCAAATCCGATGGCTTTTTCTCAGTTCATATATACTTTCATTTCTCTGCAGCATTTGGCACCACAAGCTTTGGAAATTCTCCTCTTTGGATTTCATGGCTCTGAATCACTTTCTTCCCTCCCTGACTTCCTTTCTCCCTCCTACATTTAGCCAGTATTCAAGGTTCTATCTGCACTTTTCTTTTCTCTCTCATTCAATTTCATGGCTTCAACCACATGCTGATTCTGAAACTATACGCAGAGGATCCTAAAGTTTTGTTTTTACATTTAGTTTAGATGTCTTTCTTGGGCTTTAGTTTGACATTTCCAGGTGTTTTCATTTGTCACCAAATATCCAATCATTCTTTAAAAGTAGTACATCTAAAACCAAAACCTTCATCTCATCTCTGCAAAATGCTCTTGTTTTTGTGGTACCAATTTCTGTGAGTAGAATGTGTACCTCCCCGGCCACTAAGCATCGAAACCTTGGTGTGTTGCTTGGCATGGCCTGGCTCTAACTTGTCAGCTTCTGCTAGAAATTCACCAGTTTCTTGACTTTTACTCCTTGTAAAATTGGCTTTACCCAGCTCAGGTAACCTTTAACTTGTGCGTGGACTGTTCCAATAGCTCCCTAATTGGTCTCTCTGTTGTCAGTCTATTTCCAGTCTAATCAGTTTTACACTCCCCTTACTGGCTTCTCTTTCTGAACTTACTTTTCTTTGGCAGGCATTCAAGGCTTCTGTGATCTGCCATCACCTGCCTTTCCAGCATTGTTCCAACATTATTCCCACTGAGAGACACCATGTTTCTGCAAAACTGAAACACCTATTGTTTCTGTCATCCTAACTCTATCTTCTCACTCCAGCACTTAAAATGGAATTATGTCTCCATTCTCCTCTAGCACTTAATGTGTCTCTTTTTAAAATTATTACGATTATTTGCCCATTGAACTTCTGACCCAACTGTGTCTCTTTCTTATAGTACTCATCAATTTAGAAGTTGTATGAGATACATTTATATACTGACTTTACTCCTAGGCTGTCAGCTTGTGGAGGTGTTGATCATTGATTCATTCATTCATTTCACAGATTTCTAAGACATGCTAGGAAGAATAGGGATATGATAGTGAAAAAAAAGCTTCTCATAGCGCTTTCAGCCTTGGAGTCCTTATTTTTTTCATTGTTACTAGTTTGTTTTTACACTGTAAAAAGTGCCTAGTCCTGAATCAACGCCAGGCACACAGTAAGTACTCCTTATTAAATGAATGAATTAATTAGCAAGTATGTAAGATGATAATTACAAAAGTTTCACATGACTTGTTTTTAAATTATCTGGCATTTAAGCCTTTCTCATGAAAGAGAAAATAAACATCGAGCAACAGAGATATAATATTTATTAGAAATAAATGCAAATGCAGAAATATATCATCTGGGTCTTTGGATTAAGGCCACAATACAGCAGACATTTTTAACCAGTTTTACAAATGATAGCAATATTTAAAGAACATCGGTCTCAAGGACGGTTTTTGTAAGAATGAATAAAAACTGTGACTATGGGAACTGTCTGTTCCAAGTAGCTCTACACACTGAATTTGAGGCTTTTTAGCATAATAAGACATTTGTCCTCTTTGTATTTGAGACAGGGGTTTCATTTTACTTCCTACTGAGGTTTCCAGTGTGAATTTTTCATTGCAGCTTGCCCTGTTATAAAGTGTGTCTTCTATCTTACTGAGGTTTCCTTTCTCAGCTTTTTGGGATGGGCGTCTGAGCTTGAACAAAAGAATTGCTGGGAAAAGGAAACAGCAAACCAGGAAAGTGACTAGCTTCTGTGAATGCCTGCACTTTCTATAGACCGCAGACTGTTGGCACGTTAGCCAGTTCTTAGGGACTCTTGCTTTTCATTGCTCCTATCTTAGCAATGTCGTTACAAAGTTGACTGTAGAAATGTAAAGCTTAGCAGGGCGCGGTGGCTCACGCCTGTAATCCCAGCACTTTGGAAGGCCGAGGCAGGTGGACCACCTGAGGTCGGGAGTTCAAGATCAGTGTGATCAACATGGAGAAACCCCACCTCTACTAAAAATACAAAATTAGCCGGGCGTGGTGGTGCGTGCCTGTAATCCCAGCTACTTGGGAGGCTGAGGCAGGAGAATTGCTTGAACTTGGGAGGTGGAGGTTACGGTGAGCCAAGATTGCACCATTGCACTCCAGCCTGGGCAACAAGAGTAAAACTCCATCTCAAAAAAAAAAAACCAAAAAAAAAAAAAAAAAGAAAAGAAAAAAGAAATGTAAAGCATAGGTAATTGCTTTCTAGCCTTCAAACATCACACTCCAAATGTTTCCTCTGCTCCTTAAAACATATTCATTCCATGATCAATGGCCAATGAGAATAAAACAAATTCATCCTAAAGATTTTATTTGCTTTTCCCTCATATTGTTTCTTAAATTCTTAGATGTTTCATACTTAAAGAAAATTTCCTTATATAACTTTTTTCAAAGACATTCAGAGTTTTCGAGTTGCTAACTAGGTTTCATTCTCATAATGAGTCATTTCTAAAACTGTGCCAAGGACTTTGGGGCCTTAGATGAATTTCTAGTCAGTGGCATCTCAGACTGCATACTCTGACAGGCTTTCATCTGTCTGGGATAGAGACAAGAGATTGGCAAGTTAAAGATTAACTCTCCAGTAGGGGATTGAAGACTGCTTGCTCTATTTTCCCAACTGTTTTACCCACAAATCTCTATGTATTGAGATGAGCTCTAGGGTACCTATAAATCAGGTTAATAGGCAGTACATGCTGGAATAGGTACTTCTCGCTTAATACCAGGCAGCTCTGGTGCCACGTTCTATCTAGACCAGTTATTGGACTTGGGCTTGATATGAGATGGTACAGAAGGATCCTCCACCTTCCTTCCTTCCCTGACTTCCTTAGAGAACTGATGCTTACTGCAAAGACCCGGTGCAGCAAACCACTATGGCACGTGCTTACCTATGTAACAAACCTGCACGTTCTGCACATGTATCCTGGAACTTAAAGTAAAATTAAAACAGACAAACAAACAAACAAACAAACAAAAACTGATGCTTAGTCCTTAAAACTGGTCTTGGTGACATAGAAGACACCTAATTTTCTAAAGTGATAGAAAGAATACTTTTATTTATTTTTATTTATTTTTTGGCAGGAATACTTTTAGAGCATTTTTCCAGTAGTCATTTATCCTGTTATTGAGTATTTTTTTTTTTAATTTTGGCTTCGGATAAAGGACTGAGGAAGACAATTCTCTTTTTCTTTTGGTAGGAAGCACCATTTCGCATGCAAATTGTGTGGATATACATGACAAATTTGGTCCTAATACTAATTTATTTATATTTTAATGTTAGAAAAGGTGAAGGTGGTGCTAGTGAGAAGCTTTAGCTAACACACAAAATGGGGAAGTTAGTTAGTTTTACCACACAGCTGAACAACTTTCACACAAAACCAAAATGGCAGCTGGTTCTGAGGTTTCATGAACACATAAAAGCCCAAATGCCAGAAACCAAAAAATTCTCTTTAAGCAATTTTTTCCCTCTCTATAGGAACTGAGGCTGTCAGCAGCATAAACACTTGCAATCCTGCCCTTCCTAGGATGCATGTGCTATCGAAAAGGGAGGTGTTAATTGCTGTGCTAATTACAACATGATTGCTTTGCACTTGTTTTGCACTTGTAGGTGATTAAATTTTTAACGAAGCATATTACTTGGCACTGTTAGCACAGTTAACACATTTCTCTCTCTCTCTCTCTCTCTTTTTTATGCCTTGGGAGAAGTCCCGCACCGCAGACCCTTCTCTGGCTGTGATGTGCTGTTGTGTTTGGAACAAGCTTCTGTTTAGCCTGTCAGTTACAGGACTCCAGCTTCCTGCTTGGGAAAGAGCAGCAGCCTATTATAATCATCCCCAGCATGATGGCACTGGCCAGATGCGAGCGCAGAACCCACAAAGGTATTAGCTAAAAATTAGGCAGTGCTGCCAATGCCAGTTTCCAGCCTTCATTTAAAAACTACGACGACTCCAGCCAGTCAAGCGGCAGTGTCGAAGGGTTTAGCAGGAAGGTAGAGAGATGACAGCAAGTTCCATGTGATTTATTTCAGCTTTACAGCCTGCATTCCCAGCTGAACCGGAGCACGGGAAACTTGCATCTGTTACATGGGCAGCCTTGTATCTCTTGGTCCCCACTGTGCAGCAGGCTGCTGCTGTCCTCCGTGGAAGCCGGATTTTGTGTTTGTGCGCCTGTGCGTGCACACTTTCTCTCTCTCTTTTCCTCTTTCTTCCTAGGCCTCCTCATTCAGAAGTGTCTGGGAAGACAGGTTTGGTTGTAAGAGAAGAACTGGACATGTCTGAGGGGTTCACAACCTTGGGGTGCGCTGTCAGAGAAATGACAGGTAGCTAAATTCTCTTTAATGCTGCGTATCTGCAAACAAACCTATCTATAAAGCCCGAAAAGTCAAGCGTTCAACTTTTTATGACTTACCTCTCATGACTTGGCAAGTTTTGCAGCAAGGAGACTGGGATGATGGTTTTAGGAGAGCAGAGTGAACAAAGGAAAGAAACTGACCAGTTTGAATTTGAATGAGAAGCACCTGCTGTTGCCATGGGAGTTCTTGTGTGCCCATTGACCCCCACCAGTGGGCTGAGCAAGACAAAGGGGCAAAGCTGATTCTCAAGAGGAGCATAAATTCCTCAAAGGCTGAGTTAAGCTTTAGTTACTGAGCCTCAATGAATGCATCTCCAGAACATTTTATAAACTTTTTCAGCCCTCTTGAGGTTGCCTGAAAAAAAAAAAAGTTGCCTCTATACCACATAGCTTATACGTATCTGTCAGCTCAGCATGGTGAAGAAATGCACAAACCAAGTGGAAAAAGTTAGCTAAAAGGATCTACTGAGGCCAGGAGCAGTGGCTCACGCCTGTAATCCCAGCACTCTGGGAGGCTGAGGCAGGTGGATGACCTGAGGTCATTGAGACCAGCCTGGCCAACATGATGAAACCCCTTCTCTATTAAAAATACAAAAATTAGCTGGGCGTGATGGCACACATCTGTAATCCCAGCTACTTGGGAGGCTGAGGGAGGAGAATCGCTTGAACCCAGGAGGCGGAGGTTGCAGTGAGCTGAGATCGTGCCACTGCACTCCAGCCTGGGCGACAGAGTGAGACTCCATCTCAAAAAAAAGAAAAAAGGATCTACTGAACATATCCAGGACACTGTAGATTGTGACCTTACCAAGAATTCGAAATCAACTTCTGCACTGGTGCTCTCTTGACAACGGTATTATCTCTTATGATTTAAAAGTCCATTCCATTTTTAAATGTCAGTTTCATGATATCCTTTCATTAAGAAAAACCTTTTCTATTCTAATGAACTCTGGGCTGGGGTTTCTTTTTTTTCTCTGCTTTGGACTAATGAGTGTAATTACTTCCATTTGCAAACTCCACCCTTCTCATCAACTTTGTATTTTAGACCTATCTATTGACTGCCTGGCTTCCCTCGGCTGTCACTGTGATGATCAAGGTAGATGAATAGGTGATATTCCAATGGAAATATTCCAGGGCGTCAAATCCATACCCCAAATGGAAAAAAAGACAGCACTGTGGGACAGTAACTTTAATATTCTTATAAATGTATTTTTCTTATTTGTAGTGGGGCAGTGATTTGGGTAGATAGAAGAATTATGAATGTGTATTAAAAATAAAGCCAAATATTCTGAAAATACCATAATTTATTTAATGCTATTTCAAGACAATATTTGAAAATGCTTTTAGAAAGACTGACATGTCCAAGCTCCTATGGATAGAGCATCCCTTTAGAGAATTCGGCATCAATTTTTCAGCTGATCTTTGTCGTTGAACTCTTCAGCCATCACAAGGGACTGCTAATCCATTGACTTTTCAGCAAATATTCACTCTGTCCTGAGTCTGCTTTTACTGTCTTCATTCTTCTTTCTCCATCCCTTTCCATTCCCATCCCCTACCCTGTCTCTGCCCCGCCACCTGCTCAGCTGCTGCTTCTGCTGCCAATTGAGGGCCAGCCACCTGAGAGGCTCCCACAGACCTCCGAACATGAACTCCAGGCGGAATGGGCCTCAGCACAGTCCACTCATTTGAGATGGAAGATTTAAGATTCTGCTACTTTAGCAATCACCAGGCTTGCTTTCTTGCTTTGCTTTCCTTTCCTTTTCTCTTTTCTTTCTTTCTTTTCCCTTTTCTTTCTTTCTCTTTTTCTTTTCTGCCTCTTTTCTTTCTTTCTTCTTTCGCTCTCTTTCTTTTCTTTCTCTCTTTCTTTCTTTCTCTTCCTTCCTTTCTTTCTTTCTTTCTTTCTTTTCTTTCTTTCTTTCTTTCTTTTCTTTCTCCCTTCCTTCCTTCCTTCCTTTCATCTTTCTTTTAAAGCAAAGTAGTTTAAAAATTATTTTTAGCCCTTATGGAAATGCTAAACCCTCAAACTTTTTTTGTTTTGTTTTCCGGTTTTGTTTCTGATAGACAAGCTAAGCCTCAGTTCTCTCTGAATGCTGAGAGGGAGAGGAATTCCTTGAGGCCTGATTCATCTTTTTTCCGGGCAGGTGTGTAAAGACATGCACACCACACAAGATTTCCCAGAAAACCACTCCAGATGTGGGCAGGATAAGGTGTTCATTCTCTGTGTGAACACAAGTGAGTCAATTCTATGTCTGAAGAGAGCTCCTTGAGAATACTTAAAAGGCATATGAGTTCATGGATTAAAAAGGTGGAATACTCTAGAAGAAAACCTTGGAAATACCATTTTGGACATCAGCCTTGGCAGGGATTTTATGAATACATGCTCAAAACAGTTAAGACAAAAACAAAAATTGACAAGTAGAATCTAATTAAAGAGCCTCTGCACAGCAAAAGAAACTATCAACAGAGTAAACAGACAACATACAGAATGGGAAAAATATTCACAAACTATGCATCCAACAAAGGTCTAATATCCAGAATCCATAAGGAACTTAAGCAAAAACCAAATAACTTTATTTAAAAGTGGTCAAAGGACCCAAGGTAATTCATAGATTCAATGCTATCCCCATCAAGCTACCAATGACTTTCTTCACAGAATTGGAAAAAACTACTTTAAAGTTCATATGGAACCAAAAAAGAGCCCACATAGCCAAGACAATCCTAAGCAAAAAGAACAAAGCTGGCGGCATCATGCTACCTGACTTTAAACTATACTACAAGGCTACAGTAACCAAACAGCATGGTAGTGGTACCAAAACAGATATATAGATCAATGGAACAGAACAGAGGCCTCAGAAATAACACCACACATCTACAACCATCAGATTTTTGACAAACCTGACAAAAACAATAAATGGGGAAAGGATTTCCTATTTAATAAATGGTGCTGGGAAAACTGGCTAGCCATATGTAGAAAGCTGAAACTGGATCCCTTCCTTACACCTTGCACAAAAATTAACTTAAAATTAACATTAAAAAGACTTAAATGTAAGACCTAAAGCCATAAAAACCCTAGAAGAAAACCTAGGCAATACCACGAAGGACATAGGCATGGGCAGACTTCATGACTAAAACACCAAAAGCAATGACAACAAAAGCCAAAATAGACAAATGGGATCTAATTAAACTAAAGAGCTTCTGCACAACAAAAGAAACTGTCATCAGAGTGAACAGGCAACCTACAGAATGGGAGAAAATTTTTGCAATCTATCCATGTGACAAAGGGCTAATATCCAGAATCTACAAAGAACTTAAACAAATTTACAAGAAAAAAATCAAACAACCCTATCAAAAAGTGGGCAAAGGATATGAACAGACACTTCTCAAAAGAAGACATTTATGCGGCCAACAGACACATGAAAAAATGCTCATCATCAGTGGTCATCAGAGAAATGCAAATAAAAACCACAGTGAGATACCATCTCATGCCAGTTAGAATAGTGATCTTTAAAAAGTCAGGAAACAACAGATGCTGGAGAGGATGTGGAGAAACAGGAACGCTTCTACACTGTTGGTGGGAGTGTAAATTAGTTCAACCTTTGTAGAAGACAGTGTGGCAATTCCTCAAGGATCTAGAACTAGAAATACCATTTGACCCAGCAATCCCATTACCGGGTATATACCCAAAGGATTATTAATCATGCTACTATAAAGGCACATGCAGACACATGCACATGTATGTTTATTGCAGCACTATTCACAATAGCAAAGACTTGGAATCAACCCAAATATCCATCAATAATAGACTGGATAAAGAAAATGTGGCAGATATACACCATGGAATACTATGCAGCCATAAAAAAGGATGAGTTCATGTCCTTTGCAGGGACATGGATGAAGCTGGAAACCATCATTCTCAGCAAACTAGCACAAGGACAGAAAACCAAACACCGCATGTTCTCAGTTGTAAGTGGGAGTTGAACAATGAGAACACATGGACACAGGGAGGGGAACATCATATACTGGGGCCTGTTGTGGGGTAGGGGGCTGGGGGAGGCATAGCATTAGGAGAAATACCTAATGTAGATGACGAGCTGATGGGTGCAGCAAACCAACATGGCCCATGTGTACCTATGTAACAAACCTGCATGTTGTGCACATGTACTGTAGAACTGAAAGTATAATTAAAAAAAAAAAGTGGGCAAAGGACATGAACAGACACCTTTCAAAAGAAGACATACAAGTGGCCAAAAAACATATGAAAAAATGCTCAACATCACTAATTATTAGAGAAATGCAAATTAAAACCATAATGAGATACCATCTCACAGCACTCAGAATGGCTATGATTAAAAAGTTAAAAACTAACAGATGCTAGTGAGACTGTGCAGTAAAGGGAATGCTTCACTGTTCCCTTAGGTGGGAATACACTGTTGGCAGGAATGTAAATTAGTTCAGCCACTGCAGCAAGCAGTTTGGAGATTTCTCAAAGAACTTAAAACAGAGCTGCCATTTAATCCAGCAATCCCATTACTGGGTATCTATCCAAAGGAGAATAAATTGTTCTGCCCAAAATACACATGCACTCATATGTTAATGATAGCACTATTCAAAATAGCAAAAACATGGAATCAACCTAGGTGCCCATCAGTGGTGGACTGGATAAAGAAAATGTGGTACATATACACCATGGAATACTACACACCCATAAAAAAAGAATAAAATCATGTCCTTTGTGGCAACATGAATGCAGCTGGCCATTATACTAAGCAAATTAACACAGAAATATAAAACCAGATACTGAGGCCAGGTTCGGTGGCTCAGGCCTGTAATCCCAGCACTTTAGGAAGCTGAGGCAGGTGGATCTCTTGAGCCCAGGAATTCGAGACCAGCCTGGGCAACATGGTGAAACTGTATCTCTACAAAATATACAAAAAAAAAAAAAAAAAAAGTAGCCATATGTGACGGCATGCCCTTGTAGTCCCAGCTAATTGGGAGGCTGAAGTGGGAGGATTCCTTGAGCCCAGGAGGTTGAAGCTGCAGTGAGCCATGATTATGCCACTGCACTCCAGTGGGACCACCAAAAAGCAACACCAAATACTACATGTTCTCACTTACAAGTGGGAGCTAAACACTGGATGCACATAGACAGAAAGATGGGAACAATAGACGCTGGGGACTACTACAGTAAAGAGAGAGGGAGGGGGACAAGGACTGAAAAACTACCTCTTGGGTACTATGCTCATTATCTCAGTGATGGGATCATTCATACCTCAAACCTCAGCATCATGCAGTGTACCCATGTAACAAACGTATACATGTAACCCCCAAATCTAAAGTACAAGTTGAAATTATTATTAAAAAAAGGTGGAGTGCTGAGAGAAACACTGGCCTTCTGTCATGAGCCGAACTTGTGTGAAATGTTGCTTAGGAATTGACACTTGCAGTTTTCGAAAGTCTTTCCCTAAAGATTCCTCCTTTTTGTCTTTTTGTACATGCAGTTTTCTTTCTCATGTCTTCCTGACATTGAACCATGTTTTTTCCCTCAAGACTTTCATCCAACCTTTTCTGCTATAAAGCCTAAGAAAGAATAAGCTACCCTGTCCACTGTATGTACACAGCATCTTGTGGATATATTTTAGGAGTGGGCCATTTTTTAGATATATGACCTTAAGCATGATTAGTGCTTTGGTAAATAACAAAGGTTTAATAAATGCTGACTATTACTATATAGAATTGTAACTGATTTTTTTTTTTTTGGAGACCTAGTTTTGTTGTATCACCCAGGCTAGAGTGCAGTGACGTGACCACAGCTCATTGCAGCCTTGACCTCCCAGCCTTGAGCAATCTTCCTGCCTCAGCCTTCCAAAGGAGCTAGTACTACAGGCATGCACTACCACGCCTGGTTAATTTTTTTTAGTTTTTGTAGAGACAGGGTCTCACTATGTTGCCAGGGCTAGTCTCGATCTCATGGGCTCAAGCTGTCTTTCCACCTCGGCCTCCTAAAGTGCTGAGATTACAGGTGTTTACTGCTGACCCTGGCCTTATTATTGTTAGAAACAGGATCTCACTACGTTGTCTGGGCTGGACTCCAACTCCTGGACTCAAGTGATCCTCCCACTCTAGCCTCCTGTGTAGCTGGGACTACAAGGTGCACACCACTGTGCCTACCTTGTAACTGATCTTAAAAAAAAAACAAAAAACCTCTTATAAAAATTTTCAGACACAAAAGAGTTTAGAGAATAATGAGCCTCTAAGTCCCAGAAAATTTGACTGCTTCTCAGAATATTATGCCCATTATAAGAGGAAGGCAGTGGGTCAATTTTGAATTGAGCTCTGTACTCTGGGAACTGCTAGCAGATATGGGCACAAGCAAAAGGAAGTGTAACCTTGCATATAATATATGGTGGGGAGAAAAGATCATTGTACTTATTGTCATGAAAAACTACAGGTGGGAGAGATGAGAGTCGATATATTTGAGATCCACTTGGGTCCTGTCCCACGGTCCCCTTTCTGTTCTGTTCCAAGATACTTATACGCCTCAGAGAGCCATAGTGGTTACAAGTTTGGACCCTGGAGATAGATAGGCATGGATTTGACTCAGCTCTCTTACTTAGGAAAAATTTAAGCCTTTATTTCCTCATCTGAAAAAAAAAATGGGTCAAATAATAGTGTCTATTTGTTTTGAGAATAAACACCATTAGGTACATCAAGAACTTGGTACATACTGTTTTTCACTGATTCTGAGATTCACACTTTAACATCTCTGAAATATGTCTTAACGATCAATGAGGTAATGATGTAATTGTTAGCATTTTCTTTCTGTCTTGGAGGTCCACAAAATAATGGTGAGCCTTATGATTAGTGGGTCTTAGATTCCATGAAATATTATAGCAAGTGATTAATAAATATTAATGATCAAAATAATGATGATTGTAGAGCTTCCTTAATTCACCCAAATCAAAGTTCATATGACAGAAATTTGCTCTATTTTGTCTGCCATGGAGGAAGCATGTAATCTTGGGCAAATCTTTTAACTTCTTTTGGGATTTTGTCTCAAATTTGAATGAGATGATTGCTATGGTTCATCTGGTATTAAAGTCCTAAGATGTGATTGGTTCTCTGGAAGTCAGTGAAGATGAGACCAATGTAAGTGTGTGAGAATGTGGAGGGCTCCTGCTTGTGCTCATAAGCAGTCTGTGGGATGAATCCTTTTGTCTCCATGAAGCAAATAACTCTTTCACGCTGCTGCTCTGGCACATCCAGGACCTCTGGCCACCAAAGGGGATGTGTGGAATGGAAGTCCCTGGCTTTCTGTCTGTTCTGCAGATGCTCATGTAGTTCTGGGAAATTCTTCTCTAGGGGTATAGCCATGTGGTCAGCATAGCAAGATGGCAGAGTGGACAAAAACAACTCTAAGAGTGATCTCAGATATTGACTGGGCATTGGCTCTTCTAAAATGCCTCCCTCATCTTGTTGCCAACTTGTCATTGTTTTAAACTTTTTAAACTAAGGTTTCTACCCTTAGAATTACCCCTCTGGGTCATACAACAAAACTGGGAGCTTAGTAAGTGTTAAAAAATATTCAATATGGGATCACTGAAAGGGGGTGAGAAGGATTGTCATCCCCAGCCATCTCCATGATCACATGGACATGACACCATTGTCTGGCTAATGGTCTCCATAAAAAGTTGGAAACCATTGAGGCTGTAGTTTTGAGGGAGTGCAGAGGATTCAGTGATCATGGGGTGATGGGTAAAATGATAGCAGGAGAGAGGAAACATGGTTGCAACAGTTCCTGGGATATTTGACAAAGGAGGGAATTCTTTAAGAGACACCAGTGAGAAAGTGAATATGCTTAGGCAAATGCCACCTACATCGTTATTTTGCATAGGGCCATCCTGGATAAGTCCAGGTATGATATGTTTACTACGTTTGTGTTTTCTCAGAGTACTTTTATTTATAGTACCTCATTTTACAACAGTTTTGTGAGGTATGTAGGGCAACTATTACCAGGGCTGATTCACAAGTGACAAAGTAAATGTGGATCAGCACCACAACAGCCCTGGCAATGGAGCCAGGATTGACACTCTGTTCTCCCCACTCCCAATTCCATCCTTTTTCTGCTTTTTTTAAGCATCACTCTTGCAGAAACAAGGCAGGCAATGCACCTTCCTCACATTACAGTCCAGGTCTCCAAATGCAGAACTGGTCTGATATATTTCAGTGAAGTCAGCACTATAAAGCTATTTATGTCCACATTGTCATACATTTTGTCCACATTGTCATTATTTTGTGTTGTGATGATATTTTTCTTTCTTTTCTAGAAAATGCACTCTGGTTTTTAACATAGAGACTAGATTTGCAGGAAAAAAAAGAAAAAAAATTAAAAATATCAGAAAGGACTAATGCTTTCTGCCTTTAGAATATGCTGAATTTAATTTTCTCCTGAAAGTTTTTGTAGAATGATGGTTTATTTCTGGCATGGAATGTAGTCAGCATTCCAGTGGGAAACAGAGAACTCTGAAATGAATGAATTCTCTTCCAGAGAGAACGTCAGAGAGAGAAAAGGTTTGCCAGCAGAGTGGACTCTCCAAAGACATAATTTTGGTCTTGTGTGTGTCTCAACTTTGGCTGTTAACCTCAAACTGAGAGACGACAGCATAAACTGAAAACCTATGGAGAACTGGGCTGAGATTTTCTTCTTCTAAGCAGGTCAAATCAATTTCAAGTGTCATTGTTTTCCCTCCGGTCTTAATCAATATTCAGAACTTCGGGAGAATGATGCCTTGAACAGTAATTAGTGGTAATGGGGACACTACTTTGCTGGCCATCAGCATTCCTGGCTTGTTAAGAATGCTTTAATCGGATATTAATACAAAGGAGGCTGTTTTGGTTTTCTTTTCAGGTTCTCTTATGTTTTTTAAATTATTTATTATTATTATTATTAACCCTTTGTAGAGCAGTTTTAGGTTCACAGAAAAATTGAGCAGAAACTACAGAAAGTGCCTGTATATTCTAGTCCCTCTGCCCTTCCCTGCAGCCTCCCCCACAATCAACATCCCCCACTAAGTGGCATATTTGTTAAAATTAATGAACCTACATTGATGCATCATTATCACCCAAAGTCCTCAGCTTACATTAGGGTTCACTCTTGGTGTTGGACATTCTATAGGCTTTGAAAGTTGTGTACTGGTAAGTATCCAGCATTGTAGTATCATACTGAATAGTTTTACCACTTTAAAAATCCTCTGTGGGCTGGGCACGGTGGCTCATTCCTATAATCCCAGCAAATTGGGAGGCCGAGGCAGGCGGATCACTTGAGGTCAGGAGTTCAAGACCAGCCTGGGCAACATGGTGAAAACTTGTCTCTACTAAAAATACAAAAATTAGCTGGGCATGGTGGTGAGGGCCTGTAATCCCAGCTACTCAGTAGGCACAAGAATCACTTGAACCTGGGAAGCAGAGGCCTCAGTGAACCGAGATCGCACCACTGCACCCCAGCCTGGGTGACAGAGCGAGACTCTGTCTCAAAAAAAAAATCCTCTGTGTTCTGGCTATTCATTTTTCTCTGTCCCCCAGTCCCTGAAAACCACTAATCTTTTTACTGCTTTCATAGTTTTCCCTTTTCCAGAATGTCATAGGGTTGGAATCATACAGTACGTAGTCTTTTAAGATTGACCTCTTTCACTTAGTTATATGCATTTAAGTTTACTTCATGTCTTTTCATGACTTCATAGCTTGTTCTTTTCCTCCATAATATTTTGTTGTCTAGATGTACCACAGTAGTTTATTTATCCATTCACCTCCTGAAGGACATCCTGGTTGCTTCCAAGTTTTGGCACCTATAAAGCTGCTATAAATACCCACATACAGGTTTTTGTGTATACATAAGTTCTCAATTCATTTGGGTAAATAGGATGTGGGATATTGCTAAATCATATTGTCAGAGTTTTGGAAAAACTTGCCACACTGTCTTCCAATGTGGTTGTACCATTTTGCATTTCCATCAGCAACGAATGAGAGTACCTGTTGCTCCACATCCTCATCACCATTTGGTATTGTCCTTGTTCTGGATTTTGGCCATTCTAATAGATATATAGTGGTATCTCATTGTTTTAATTTTCAATTCCCTAATGACATATGATGTTTTAATAAGCATAAGCATCTTTTATTATGCTTACTTGACATCTGTATAATCTCCTTGGTAATGTGTCTGTTCCAGTCTTTTCCTCATTTTTAAGTTGGTTGCCCATATTTTTTTAACTGTTGAGCTTTAATAGTTCTTCATGTATTTTGGAAAAGAGCCCTTCATCAGACATGTCTTTGTAAATATTTTCTTCAGTCTGTGACTTATCTTTCCATTTTCTTGACATTGTCTTTTGCGGAGCAGAAGTTTTTAGTTTCAATAAAGTTTAATTTATCAATTTTTTAAAATGAATTTTACCATTGGAGCCGTATCTAAAAAGTCATCACCATACCTAAGGTCATGTAGGCTTTCTCCTGTGTTATCTTCCATGAGTTCTATAGTTTTACACTTTACATTTAGGTCTATGACTCATTTTGAGCTAATTTTTGTGAAGGGTGTAAGGTCTATGTTTAGATTCATTTTTTTTTTTTTGCATGTGTATGTCCAGTTGCTCTAACATCATTTGTTGAAAAGACTGTGTTTGCTTCATTGTATTGCCTTTGCTCCCTTGTCAAAGATCAGTTGACTCTATTTATGTGGGTTTATATGTTTGTTCTCTATTCTGTTCCATTGATTAATTTATTCTTTAATCAATATTACATTATCTTGATTACTGTGTCTTTATGATAAGCCTTGAAATTGGGGGTAATATTAGTCCTCTGAGTTTGTTCTTCAATATTAAATTGGCTATTCTGGGTCTTTTGTATCTCCATATAAAGTTTAGAATCAGTTTGTCAATATCCACAAAATAACTTGTAGAGATTTTGATTGATATTGCATTGGATCTATAGATTAAGTTGCAATAGTGCGTCTTCTGCATCTTCCTATCCATGTTACCAATAGTGCATCTTCCTATTCATGAACATGGACTGTCTCTCCATTTATTTTGTTCTTCTTTGATGTCGTTAATCATAGTTCTGTAGTTTTTCTCATGTGGATCTTGTACATGCTTTGTTAGATTATATCTAGGTATTTCATTTTTGAGGTGCGAGTATAAATGGTAATGTGTTTTTAATTTCAATACTCCTTGTTCATTATTGATATTTAGGAAAGTAATTTACTTTCATATATTAACCTTGTATTATACAACCTTGTTATAATTGCTTATTAGTTCCAAAAGGGTTTTTCTGTTGATTCTTTCCAATTTTCCTACATGACAACCTTGTCACCTGCTAACAAAGACAATTTTATTTCTTTCTTTCCAATCTGTGTATCATATATTTCCTTTTCTTGTTTTATTACATTGGCTAAGACTTCTAGTATGGTGTTGAAAAGGAGTGGTGAGAGGGAACATTATTGTATTTTTCCTGATCTTAGTGGAAAAGCTTCAAGGTTTTCACCATTAAGTATGATGTTAGCAGTAGGTTTTTCATAGATTTAAAAAATCAAGTTAAGGAAGTCTTCCTCCATTCTAGTTTTTTTTTTTGAGAGTTTTTTTTTTATCATAAATGAGTGTAGATTTTGTCAAATGTTTTTCTGTATCTATTATTGTGAAAATGTAATTTTTCTTCCTTAGCCTGTTGATATGTTGGATTATATTAATTGGTTTTGAATGTTGTATCAGCCTTGAATACCTGGGAAAAATACCAGTCAGTTACGGTGTATATTTCTTTGTATACATTGTTGGATTTGATTTACTAATATTTTATTGAGAGTGTTTATATCTGTATTCACGGTTATAATTTTCTTTTTTTTGTAATGTCTTTGGTTTTGGTACTAGTGTTAAGCTAGCCTCATAGGGTGAGTTAGGAAAGCTGGAGGGAGCTGGAGTTGGTTATTTCTCTTCTCCCAGGTAAGTTGGGCTGGGATAAGACTCCAGCAGTTTAGACTCTCATAAAATAGCTTCTTCTGAGGGCAGGCCTTGTCAAGAACAGAATACTCTGGTATATTTTTATATTTAAAAATGGTTCCTTTTCTCCTCCCCCTGGTGGAGGCGTGAGGGAATTTTTCTCTGATACTCATTATGAGAACCTGGCTGATCTCTTGGAGGTAAAACTCACAAATTATGGAAGCCCCTCATAACTGGGTCCCCTGGAATTTAAACTCTTGGACTTGTCCTCACTGAGCCTCTAGCAATTTATGGAATTCAGTTCAGGTTTACCTACCATAGCACTACTTCCTGAGATTTCTGCTGTGGGTTTCTGTTCTGGTAAGTTGTAATTCTCTGTATCTGTCTGTTAGTTGCTCCAATTTTAGGGGCAGCAGTTTACCCTGTAACCTTACTTCTCTGACAGATCTAAGCAGTTTGTTGACATTCAGTTTGATCAGCTTTTTACCTGTTTTAGGATGGAGTAAAGACTTCCAAGCTCCTTCCTTATACACCAGACCGGGAAGGGGAAGCTCCATCAATTCATGTGTTTAAAAAAATGTTTTTCAAACTGTATTTGTTGTAACATCAAACACAGATATAAAAGTCTCCAGCATATAGTATCTCCACCCTACAATATTAATTAAAACCGGAGGAAATTCTCTGGTGGAATCATTGGAAACTTTCAGGTGTGATTCTGTGGAGGAGAACTTGAGGGTTCTACTTCTAGCAGAGCCTATTTCTATTCTTTTTTAGGACATTCGTTCTAATTTAAAAAGCTTCTTTTTGAAAGTTGTTAACTGAAATGTCATGAATGAGTTATATTGTTAACTGATCTTTTGAATCCACAAACAAAGAAGAACTTGCTACTTGGAGGCCCCTGATGAATCAGTAGAGCTTGAAGTGCAAGAATGGAAATGTTGCTGACACTGAGATGTTCCTAGACCTCCAAAGGCTTTGCAAGTATCTTGACAAATATAGTTAAATAAAATATGGAAAAAGATGTAGTTGCCTTGCTTTTTTTCACTGTCTTTACTTTGGATGTAATGAAAAAAATCACTAGTGTGTGATAATCTTACATAATTGAGTTTGATAAGAATGACTTAAAAATGCTTCCCAATCCAAAAAAGAAATCAAAGTCCAATAAAGGCCCAGAAGAAAATAAAAATTACTAAAAGTTACAGGTTTTTGAAATTTAGTCTCAAGATATTTATCTGAAAAATCATAGATCAATGTAGATAAAAAATTAATATTGTCGGCCGGGTGCGGTGGTTCACGTCTGTAATCCCAGCACTTTCGGAGGCCGAGGCAGGTGGATCACGAGGTCAAGAGATCGAGACTATCCTGGCCAACATGGTGAAACCCCGTATCTATTAAAAATACAAAAATTACCTGGGCGTGGTGGTGCGTGCCTATAGTCCCAGCTACTGGGGAGGCTGAGGCTCGAGAATCACTTGAACCTGGGAGGCGGAGGTTGCAGTGAGTCGAGATTGCGCCACTGCACTCCAGCCTGGTGACGGAGTGAGACTCCATCTTAAAAAAAAAATTAATATTGTCCTTCCATATTAACATTTGGTATTAGCACTTGATAGATACTTGAATGTTGAATGCCTAATGAGAATTTATTTCCTAATTAGACTTTTTAGTTAAGTTTATTTTCACGTTTCTTGAGGCAAGTAGTACATAACAGAGTGGCCAAGGTCATAGCTTAGGAGTGGTTTGAAACCCTGTTTCTCTACTTACTGTGAGTCTGACCATGGGCAAATTACTTAACCCCTCTCCTCCTCAGTTTGCTTATCTGTAAAATGATGATGATAAGAGTCCTTATCTCTTGGGGCAATAATGAGGGTTCACTAGGATAGTTCACATAAAGCTCTTAGAATGGGGACTAGCATTTAGTAAGAGCTCAATAAATATTAGCTATTTTCTATTTTATTTTTTATTTTACTTTAAGTTCTGGCGTACAAGTGCAGAATGTGTAGATTTGTTACATAGATATACGTGTGCCATGGTGGTTTCCTGCACCTATCAACCCGTCATCTAGGTTTTAAGCCCCACATGTATTAGCCATTTGTCCTAATGCTCTCCCTCCTCTCACCCCCTACCCCCGACAGGCCCTGGTGTGTGTTGTTCGTCTCTCTCTGTCCATGTGTTCTCATTGTTCAACTTCCACTTCTGAGTGAGAACGTGGTGTTTGGTTTGCTGTTCTTGTGTTAGTTTGCTGAGAATGATGGCTTCAGCTTTATTTTTATTTTAATAAGAAAAACATCATGCCAAACCATGCAATGTTATGAAGATTATTGTGATTATTGATGAAACACATAGGACATTGGAGGAAAAATAAAATAAACTCTCAATGTTTACAGAAGAATACAGGGAACTGCTTTTCTTAAACTATATATTCACTCTTTCATTTCTAAAGAAACTGGTGTTGGCCAGGCACGGCGGTTCATACCTGTATCTCTGCACTTTGGGAGGCCAAGGCAGAAGGATTGATTGAGCTCAAGAGGTCCAGACCAGCCTGAGCAACATAGTGAGACCTTATCTCTACAAAAAAATTAAAAAATTAGCCAGGTGTGGTGGTGCATGCCTGTAGTCCAAGCTACTCAGGAGACTGAGGTAGGAGGATCTCTTGAGCCCAGGAGTTTGAGGCTGCAATGAGCCATGGACTGCACTCCAGCCTGGGTGACAGAGCGAGAGCCTGTCTCAAAAAAAAAAGGAAGCTGGTGGGGCAGGGTGCAGTGGCTCACACCTGTAATCCCAGCACTTTGGGAGGCCAAGGTGGGTGGATCATCTAAGGTCGGGAGTTCAAGACCAGCCTGACCAACATGGATAAACTCCGTCTCTACTAAAAATACAAAATCAGCGAGGTGTGGTGGTGCATGCCTGTAATCACAGCTACTCGGGAGGCTGAGGCAGGAGAATCACTTGGACCCGGGAGGTGGAGGTTGCGGTGAGCTGAGATTGTGCCATTGCACTCCAGCCTGGGCAACAAGAGCGAAACTCTGTCTCAAAAAAAGAAGCTGGTGTTAATCTCCCCTTCATGGTACCCGCTGCACAGATAGATGTGTGCAGCTCCAAGTGCACACAGCCTTCCAACTCTAGGTCTAATGAAACAGGGGAGTGGAGCTGGAGGAATTACAGGCAATTTCAACAAAGGGGAATAGGTAGGAAGGAAAAAGCTGGAAATCCCTGGAGTAACCTTACTCTTCTGACCAAAAGTACAAGTCAGGCTGGTAGAACTCTCACTCATGTTTGAAGCCAGAGGTTGGCAAACTTTTTCTGTAAAGGGCCAGATTGTAAATAGTTTTAACTTTTGGGCCATACGGTCTGTAACACAACTGCTCAGCTCTACTTCTGAAGCACAAAATTATCATAGACAATAAGGAAAAAACAGATTGTGGCTGTCTTCCAGTCAAATGTTAGGTACAAAAGCTAGCAGTGGGTCACGGTTTGCCAACCCCTGGTCTAGAATACACCTGAGTGTGGTGCATAGCCTTAATTACTTTTCTTGTAAAATTCTCTCAGATTGAAGTTGGAGGTCCTTTTTCCCACTCTGATATCCCTTCTTCCACTCTCTACCCACATTTTCTATCTGCAGCTTTATTCTGGTGGTGACCCAAAAGGTCAAGGCATGGCCCCATCATCTGGCAGCACAGCAGGATATTCGCAGAGGCTCAGCCCTCCCAGATTCTTAGAATGGAGCTCATACAAAGCTAAGCCTTTTGATTATATTGACAACGTCATAGAGCTCAGTGCTTAGTATCTTTTTTTTTTCTCTCTGTGACAGGGTCTTGCTCTGTTGCCTAGCCTAGCGTGCAGTGTCACAATCTCAGCTCATTGCAACCTCTATCTCCCCGGCTTAAGTGAGCCTCCCATCCCAGCCTCTGGAGTAGCTGGGGCCACAGGCACATGCCACTGTGTCTGACTAAGTTTTGTATTTTTTGTAAAGATAGGGTTTCACCACATTGCCCAGTCTGGTCTTGAACTGGGCTCAAGGGATCTTCCTGCCTTGGCCTCCCAAAGTGCTGGGATTATAGGCGTAAGCCACTCTGCCTGGCCTAGCTTTAATATCTTATTTCATTAAAAGGCACTCTTCTCTATTAAGGTTCAAAGAAAACTGAAGGGGATGAGAAGTACAGAAGGTTCTAGAAGCTGGAGCTTAATCTAAGTGAAAATACCTGGCATCCCATTCAAAATATTTTTCACCAAACATAAACCTGTGTGCTCACAGAGAGGCGAGGTCCATGTCGCCAAATTCTCCTGGACTTTCCCAGTCCTCCCACTGTTCCTGCTTTCTCTAGGGTCCAGAGCAGGATTCATCTCTCTTTTTCTTGTTATAATGTTTTATTCCGATTTCTTAGGATTTATCCATCCACTTATCCATTTATCCATTTTTTTTTACTACACTTAGTTTTATTAAAGATAGGAGAAAAGCTACTATCATTAAGTTCCTTAAATGATAGTGAGACAAACCTTCCATGAAGCCAGAAGCCCTCTCCACCAAGGATCAGTCAAGCGACATCCTCCACTCCCAGCCACTCATCTGACACTAGGTAGACAAGGTCTTGGTGCCCTTTACCCATGACTAGCCCATGACAGAAAGCTCCCTTGGACAGAGCCCTCACTCCCTTCAAAGAGGCCAGCAATGCTAGGTGGGGAGGAATTTACATGCTGAGCCAGCTCTGGACCAGCTCCAGGCCTATGGTATGGAGAAGGACAATAGCAGCTGAATAGTTTGGAAGAATCCATATCTCATTTACCATTTCACCCAAGAATGCTAGCATCCTCTCAGAAACCTGTCTTGGAGTCCCAGCATTTATCAGATGGGCATGAAGAGTGAGCTCCACTGGGTGCTATGAGTAATTAATTTCTTTAATGGATAATGAGTCTGTGTCTTTTAAGATCTTTGGAAAGAGATCCATTCTTCTTCCCTCATGGCAGCTAGCACAATGTCTTACACCCAGTAAGTATTTGTTGATGTTATTTTGAGGTCATGGCAACTGTGACTTTATCCCTTTGTATATAAGTTTGATGAAGACCTGACTTTCTAGTTCCAGAAGCAGAACTGAAGCAAATTCCTTTTCTTTTGAGAGAACAGACCTTTGCAAAGAGACGTAGACTCTCACAAGAAAACAAACCTGTATTCCTGAGACTCACTGGGGAATGAGTGGGGAGGTGTCAAGATCCTTGGAGGAAATTAAGGGTTATGGTTTCTTTCCGCTCTAGATAAGGGTTGGGTGCAGGCAGATCCTGGAAAAAGTGGAGTCCTTTATTGCCCAGTGGGAGGAGAGATGACATTTCCAGGAGCAGTCCTGGCTGGTGCAATAGTTACTGCTTGTACTGTTTCTACAGGCTCTTGTAGAGAGATAGCCAGGGCACCTCCCTAAAGGAACCAGCTGGGTGGAATCCTTATCCTTATCAACAAGGGTAGATCACAGGGGCCGGTGGCCTTATCATATCAGGGCAACCAGTGATTTCACCATGTCACCAATTAGTCCTTTAGAAACCAACCACATTGTTACATTGAAAGCATCACACTAGTGCCCAAATCCATTCTGCCATATTATAATTCAGCTGCATCAGCACGATTATTGCTAAAAGCCTAGAGTCTCAAATGCTTTATGGGACAGCCTGAAGACCTAAGAAAGAAAGTCTAATTTCACAATAGCATTTACTTGGCTGTGTGTACATGCACACGCCAGGTCCCAGGAAAGAGGAAATTTCCCCCCAAAAGCTCTAACCAATTCACTTTAGTAATTTCTTGTTTGTTTCACCCTGATCCTGAGTTTTTTTCTTGAACATTCGTTCATTCGTTCAAATGTTAGTTGAGTGTCCTCTATGTATGCATTGTCCTAGGTACTGTGGACACCACAGTAAACAAAACATTGCTTTCATGGAGTTTATATGGAAGAGTCTGACAAACAAATATGCAAGTGAAATAAGCAAATGTCAGCTGTTGATAAGTGCCATGGAGAACAATGAAGGGGGAAGCTTGTGAGTTGTTGCAGAGATGGAGGCTGTTTGGGGGGATGCTGTGCTGAGCCTGATGGGTGGGGAGGAGCTCACTGCTAAGTTGTCAGATTTCAGGAGCCCTGAAGGAGCTCAGAGGATGAACCATATGGATGTGGTGGAAAATGGTATTGAGCCCAAGGGGACAGAAAGTGCAAAGGCCCTGATGTTGGAATGCTGCTTAGTGTGTTTGAGAAACAGGAGTCAATGTGGCTGGAGGGGAGTGCATAAGAGGCAGAGAGGAAGAAGAGGAGACTAGAGAGGCAGAGAGGTCTAGGGTACCCTCAATCATTCAGCCATTTGAAGATAATATAGAGAGCCCCTGGTATCTGTAAGACACCGTGTGCTAAAGGGTTTGTATTTGTTGGAATAGGATGTTTAAAAGCGTGAACTAATTAAGGGAGAAGGGCAATGTTTTAGGCCTGCTGGGTGGAGACGATAGACGGAAACTAAGTAAAGATGTCACCTGGTGTGTTGAAAATGTAGGAGAATTCCAGTGGGCTCTAACTTGCACACACTGGTGAGAAAGTCATCAGTACAGACATGAGCAATGATTTTGGTTTGACTTTGGAAGACAGCATCTAAATTTTAGGAAAGACTTTCGAACTTCTTAATTAAGTCTTGTTAAATCTGTTTAAATCTGTTGGTATTTCTCAATGTGACATACGCTCTTGGAGGCAGGATACAGCTCAGAAGCTTGAGGCAGGAGGGGGACATGTTACAGTAGATAATACTCGTTAGATCAATGAGAGGTGTTAATAATAGCAGCGGGAATTTGCTTATGATTTTTCCTGGGTTTTCATGTAATTGATAGGAGATGGCTCTTAAATTCTTGTTTCTAGGGGTAAGAATAATTTTACAACACACTGATATCTGAACAAATGAAATCAACTTATGGCAAATACTGTTTTCATAATTAAGAAATAAAGTAAGTATGTCTTAAATAAGGAATCCTGATCAGGTTCTAACTTATCTGTAAAATAGGTACAGCGTCCTTGAGCATGTGTTTGAACTTCGTGGGTCCGTTTATTTGCAGATTTTTTCCAACAAATATATTAGAATTTTTTTTTGAGATTTGCAACAAATTGAAAAACTCGACGAACCACATAGCCTAGAAATATTGAAAACATTAAGAAAATGTTAGGTATGTCATGAATTCATAAAATATATGTAGGTACTAGTCTATTTTATAATTTACCACCATGAAATATACACAAATTTATTATAAAAAGTTAAAATTTATCAAAACTTGTGCATACAGACACTATGGATGTATATGGTGCCATTTGTAGTTGAGAGAAATGTAAACAAATGTAAAAATGCAGTATTGCATTATAACTGCATAAAATTAACTGTAGTAACGCCATACTACTGTAATCATTTCATAGCCATCTCCTGTTGCTATTGCCGTGAGCTCAAGTGTTGTGAATACCCACTTAAAATGCTGTGTGTAGCATTCTGGGAGGCCGAGGTGGGTGGATCGCTTGAGGCCAGGAGTTTGAAACCAGCCTGGCCAACATGGCGAAACTCGTCTCTATTAAAAATATAAAAATTAGCCGGGCGTGGTGACACATACCTGTAATCCCAGGTACTCAGGAGGCTGAGGCAGAAGAATAGCTTGAACTCAGGAGGCAGAGGTTGCAGTGACCTGAGATGGCGCCACTGCACTCCAGCCTGGGAGACAGAGTGAGATACCGTTTCAAAAAAAAAAAAAAAAAGCATTGTGATGCTAATCATTTCCCCTTGAGCACTTCCTCTCCCTGGTAAATTTCGCATCACACTAAAAAGCGATCTCTTGAAGTTCTTGCATATTTTCATCGTGTTTAGTGCAATACCATAAACCCTGCATAACGCAATGGAATGCATATGAAGTGTCCTGGAAGTGCTCCCAAAAAGCAGCGGGAAGTCATGACATTACAAGAAAAAGTTGAATTGCTTGATATGTACCATAGACTGAGGTCTGCACTGTGGTTGTCACCCTTTTGGCAGATGACTCATCTTGTAGACAGACCACAAGAAACTTACAATATTGATAAATACAGCACAGTACTGTAAATGTATTTTCTCTCCCTTATGATTTCCTTAATAACATTTGCTTTTCTCTAGCTTACTTTGTTGTAAGAATACAGTATACAGCACATATAATATGCAAAATATGTGTCACTTGACTGTTTATATTATCAGTAAGGCTAATACAACAGTAGGCTACTAGTAGTTACGTTTTTGGGGAGTCAAAAGTTATATGACAACAACCCCCGTGTTGTTCAAGGGTCAACTGTACTTCCATGTGTCTGTTACACTGATTTGATCCTTCAGTATTTAGTGCCAAGAAAGGCAAAGAAATTTCTTCTAAAGTCAGCCATTCTCATTGTTGACAGTAAGATTTTTCTGAAGCACTTTCGGTGCTGCCTGTTTCTTTGCAAAGCTTCCCTGATGCTTGTAGTTCATCCTTATCAAATTTTAGTCTACAGAAAGAACACTTTGCTTCCCTCAGAAACACTCAGCACATCTGAGTTTTCCCCACAGCTCAGGAGGACTGCAATGCTTGGGTTGAAACTACATGCGGTTTCTTCACTGGTCCAGTGTTCCTGGTCTGGTTGCTTGACCTTCATCCTGCCTGAAATTCTAGTCCAGGAGCAGACACCAGCCACCAAAACATGATTGTAACTTGATTGCCTGAAACATGTGACCTCATCCCCTCTTCGCAGCAGCCCTGTGTGACGTTGAAAACAATGGCAAAAACAGCAATTACTTTTGCAGCAACATAATCAATCCCAGCCCTATCTCCAAAAGCTTCCCCCACACCGTTGGCTTCTCTGACCGGCTTTACAACCAAGGCAGAGGTCTTTGCCTGCACTGTTCCTCTTCCTAGAATATATCTTCTTTTGTTTCTCACTTAGCTCTCCTTTGAAACTTAGTCTAAGTCTCATCTTCCCCAAGAATCCTCTGACAGCTCTGTCTCTGTGATTCCACATCACACTTGTGTTTGCCACTGTAGCAGAAGACCACATCGCATTGACATGGCTTATGTCATGGTTTCTGCTTGCAGACATGCAGAGCACGGAAATATAAGTCTGGCCCAATCCTGTATTCTAAACTGGCAAAACTGCCTCCATGCCATTCATCCCACCATGAGTGAGCCTTGTCATTGTTGCTTATGTTGCTGTCTGTGTTGCGAATCCGTCACTCTTTCTTGCACTCTCTATTCTTCTCCTTGGCTTCTGGCTTCTTGCCTTGTTTTCCGATGGTGGCTTCTCACTTAACTGAAACTGGGTATTGTGCTTCTAGTCTTGGGCTTGATCTTGGGTCTGATTTCTAATTCCCACTTCCAATGAGTCTACTTTTTTTTTTTTTTTGAGACAGTTTCACTGTCTCCCAGGCTGGAGTGCAGTGGTGCGATCACAGCTCACTGCAACCTCTGCCTCCCAGGCTCAAGCGATTCCGGTGCCTCAGCCTCCAGAATAGCTGAACCTAGAGGTGCGTGCTACCAGGCGTGGCTAATTTTTGTATTTTTAGTAGAGACGGGGTTTCGCCATGTTGGCCAGGCTGGTCTTGAATTCCTGGTTTCAAGCAATCTGCCCATCTCTGCCTCCCAAAGTGCTAGGATTACATGCGTGAGCCACCGCGCCTGGCCCAATGAGTCTGCTTTGGGCCCCTCTGACAACAACGCAACCTAACACAGAAGTTCTTCCTTCAGCACCAACTCAGGCTAACGCTCAGGCCTTGTTCATCTCATGTTCTGTGGCAATGAACTGAAGAATTTACCCAGAAAGTGCATGTACTGTGTTAAGATTATGGAAAACAGTAAGAATATGGGAAGGTGAGCTACAAATAGAAAGCAGGATTGTATGTGATGTTAATTTTGTTGTGTAGACAGCAAGCAAAGATGGTTGCAGAAAAGAAAGTGAGCATTCTAGACAAATATCGGCAGGAAGGTGATCAGAGTCCAACTTGACTTGAACCAGAAAGCCTGGAGAGAGGCTGCAGGTCTAGAAAATCTCCAAATGTGCTCACATAACATCATGTGGAATGTCAAATTCTCAGGTGGTCAAGTTGGTGTCATAAATATCAGCTACATCCAAATGCAGTGACACTTCCAATTTCTAGTAACAACCATCACTATTTGAATTCGTCACTTTGCCTTCATTGCTGTCATCAGCCCTAGACAGTGACTCTATTTTAATTAATTGTTTTTTTCTTTTATCTAATCAGCTGAATTTAAGATCCATGGTGACTCTATTTCTGGGGCCATTTTTCACAAAGAAAATTTGTGGCAGCTATGAAGAACTTGGGCTCTGGATAACACGTAGGACAAAACCCTTGCTCCTCTACTTACTACTTGGGTGACCTTGAGTGTGTTCCTTAACTAATTCATGCTCATTTCCTTTCTCCATGAGATGAAATACTGCACTGAAAGCTCTTAGCACACACTGCTTGGTACAGAGTCAACAGTGAAAGGTAGCTATTATTTTTGTTATTTCTGAGAATTACTGTGTGAAAGACATTAGTGGGGTACAACATATTTCCATTGAGAATTCTTTTTTTTTTTTTAAATTTTTTTTTTAAGACAAGGTCTTGCTCTGTCACCCAGGCTAGAGTGCAGTGGTGTGATCATGGCTCACTGCAGTCTTGGCTTCCTTTACTCAAGCGATCCTTCCATCCCAGCCTCCTGAATAGCTGAGACTGCACATGTGCATCACCACACCTGGCTAATTTTTTGTATGTTTTTGTAGAGATGGGGTGTAACCATGTTGCCCAAGCTAGTCTCGAACTCCTGGGCTCAAATAATCCACCCGCCTTGGCCTCCCAAAGTGCTGAAGCGATTCTATACCCAGCCCCCATTGAGATTTCTATGTTGGGTAGTTGGATAGACTCAGTCACTGATCATCTCAGGGCTCCCTTCACACACCTGTGGTTAGAATTTGTGACTTAGAAAAAAAATACAAATTATGACATGTCATGAACCTCCAGAGTCACGCACAATGATTTGAAACCTCATATGTCAAATCTGCCAGTGATGAGGGTCCACAGTACTTTCTTCTCTTTTGTCAGTTGGAAGCAACAGCTGGACACCAGGCTGCGTGTGCTTGTAAACAATGATTTAATTACCCTGTAGACTTGTCTTCTCCAAGCAGGATGAACCCAGTTCTTTTAACCTTTCCTAAGCATGGTTTTGATTTTCAATCTCTTTAATCATCTCTGTGGCTGTCTTCTGAACTTTCTCCAAGTTCTCCATGTCCTCTATTTTGCTGTGGAGCACCTAATTGCTCAAAATTCTAAGCTAGAACTTTTCACAGCATGGAATATAATTATACCATTTCTAGATGCCCTACTGTCCAGCAAAGGTAATTTTCAAAGGGTTTCTTTACCTGTTATTTGCTTTGATCTACATTATAATCTAGTGAGGTAAGTACTATCACCCCCCTTTTTCAGTTGGGGAAATTGAGATTCAGAAGGATTCAGAGACTTGCCTGAGGCACAGAGCCAGCACATATTATGGCTGAGACTGGAACTGAAGTCACTAATTCCAATGTTCTTTCTACTGTATCCAAGCTCACGCCTATAAACAATTTATAAAGTGCAGGGCCACCTTAATAATTTTCTGCTCTACTTCACAAGAGCTCTTTTTTTCCCCACATAGTTGGGTCAGTTTTATTAATTCATTAATTTTCCCCCACCAAACTTTTCCAAATTCTTCCATTTGACTCACGGATCCCTTGTTACTTGGACCACTGCATGATGAAGCTGAGTCACGGGCTGGTGAGAGAGTAGGCTCATGGCAAATGTGTCCCGTGAGTAAGGACCTTAAAGTGATGCTTTTGGAAACATTGTTATTTCAAAGATACCAATTGGTAGTTTTACTCCTAACGACCCATGTTGCAACGATAAACTTTTGCCTATAGCGTTTTACATTTAATTTAATTTAATTTAATTTTTTGAGACAGAGTCTCCTCTGTTGCCCAGGATGGAGTGCAGTGGTTCCATCTCAGCTCACTGCAATCTCCACCTCCGGGGTTCAAGCAATTCTCCTGCTCCAACCTCCCGAGTATCTGGGATTACAGGCATGCGCCACCATGCCTGGCTAATTTTTATATTTTTAGTAGAGATGGAGTTCCACCATGTCGGCCGGGCTGGTCTCGAACTCCTGACCTCAGGTGATCCACCCACCTTGACCTTCTAAAGTGCTGGGACTACAGGCATGAGCCACCACACCCTGCTGCCTATAGAGTTTTTTGCTCACTGTTTCCATTAAAAATGATATTTTACTGTGGGGGGAAAAGGTGATTACAAACCCTCTCCAGTGCATTCTCCTCTTGTACAGCCCAGGATGCTTGGTGCTCTTTCTGAGCACATGCAGCTTCTTATGTTTGTGACCAAAGTCTGTGGAGGGTAGACTGATGCAAGGCCAGGGCTCCACCTCTTAGTGTTTACGTAGATTGGTTTTCCTATCCCATAAAAGTATAAATACCCTGGCTCACACCTGTCGTCCCAGCACTTTGGGAGGCCAAGGTGGGCGGATCACAAGGTTAGGAGTTCGAGATCAGCCTGGCCATGTGAAACCCCATCTCTACTACAAATACAAAAAAATTTAGCTGGATGTGGTGGCGCATGCCTGTAATCCCAGCTGCTTGGGAGGCTGAGGCAGGAGAATCACTTGAACCGGGGAAGTGGAGGTTGCAGTGAGCAGAGATCAAGCCGTTGCACTCCAGCCTGGGTGACAGAGTGAGACTCTGTCTCAAAAAAAAAAAAAAAAAAGTATAAATATCCAATTCTTTTTTTTGTTTTTTTTTTTTTGATTTTAACCATTACCATTTATTGTTTTAACATTAGACTTAACTGACTGCGTGTTTTGGTATTTATGCAGATAAAAATATAGTACAGCCTTTACTCTTCATCACACCGCCTTTTATTGCAATCCTCTTATTTCATCTTCAAAACATCACTCCAGTCATCAGATGATTTTTACATTATAATATATCTAGTAAATATTTGTGTGCATAAATACTGAATTCTAAAGAGGCAATCACATTTATAATTCTGGCTACAGAATTTTTTGATTTATATTCCATCACCAAGGAAGGATTTTTAAAATGCCAATTCACCTATATGGTGTATATTTTTAAAAAATGAAGAGGCTCATGCCTATAATCCCAGAGCTTTGGGAGGTCAAGGCAGGAAGATCACTTGAGACCCAGAGTTTGAGACCAGCCTGGGTAACATAGTAAGAGCTTGTCTCTACAAAAAATTTTTAAAAAGCAGCTAGGCATGGTGCTGTGCAGCAACTCAGTAGTCCCAGCTACTCAGGAGACTGAGACAGGAGGATTGCTTGAGCCTAGGAGTTTGATGCTGTGGTGGGCTATGATTGTGCCACTGCACCCTGGCCTGGGTGACAGAGACCCTGTTTTTAAAAAAATAAAAAATAACCTTAAAAATATGAACTCACTAGTTGACTGAATTAATGAGTGACTTAAAATGTTTTAAAGTATTTCCGTACAGATTTGCAACAACAGTTAAAGAGATGCCTTTTAAATAAGAATGCAGAGCAGGGCAGTTGAGAGCAGAGATGAAGGAAGAAAAGTGGACACAACTCACAGTGTTTCCCAATTATGGCTGTGCACAGAGTCATCTAGATGGGGGTGATGGGGGTAATAAACACAGCAGTCCCCCCTGCCCCCGCCATTCTGATTTCATTAGTTTGGGTGGAGCACTGCATGGGTTTTATTAAAGCTCCTTAGCTGACTTAAAGCAGCCATAGTTGAGATCCAATGATGAGAGAGCATGAAATGCTTGGAGTCTGATGGCTGCCGCAGGCAAACACCTCCTGTGCCCTGGCTTCAGTTTGCCCAGCTTTGGGCAGGTGGTCCCGGTGTTGGGCAGCATTAGCAGATCCAGACCTGCACCTGGCAGGTGTGGGAAGCCCGTGGATGACTAGCTTCCAGTTTCAGCATCTTGAAGGACTTAGAAGCAAGTCAGCCTCTCCAGATCTTGGATCTGATGACTTCGTTACATCTTCCAGTGTCACATGGGGCTCCCGTACACAACTTCCCAGCAAACCTGGGATGCAGGAGCCCTTGGGCTCTGGTGCCAATGGATTTCCAGTACTCTCTAGGGAAAATTTATGAACGGAATTATCCTCCCCTCCAATTTGTATGTTGAAATTTTAACTCTCAACATGATGGTTTGAGGAGGTGGAGCCTTTGGGAGGTAATTAGGTCATGAGGATGGAGCTCTCCTGAGTGAGATTAATGTCCTTATAAAAGAGACCCCATAGAGCTCTCTTGTTCTCTTTCCACCATGTGAGGATATAAGAAGGCAGCAGTCTGCAACCCAGAGAGGGCCTCTGCCAGAACTCAACCATGCTGGCATCCTGATCTCAGACTTCCAGCCTCCAGAGCCGCGAGAAATAAATTTCTGTTGTTTATAAGCCACCCAGCCTATGTTACTTTGTTATAGAAGCCTGACCTAAAGTAGGAAGCATTTCCTAAACACACTTGATGAGAAGAATTTCCTGGGGTGCTTGTTAAATGTGAATATTCCTAGACCCTTTCCCTGGAGATTCTGATTCATGAGTTCTGGGGTGGGGAACTGTAGTCAGTGTATTAACAAGTCTTACAGTCAAGCAAGTTTAGGAAATTTAGAATGCATCAGATTTAGTTGAGGAGGTTATAAGAGGTGCAGATTTCCGAAGGCCACCTAGAATCAGATGCAGCTGGCCTAGGCTGAGGCCTAGGAATCTTCATTCTCAACAATTCCCCTGTAGTCTTCAGGTAGATCTGATGTGGGTGGTTCTCATGTTCGCTTTTACCAATGTGGCCTTGAAGAGAACTGCTGTTTATTAAGGGCTTACTAGCAGCCTGATCCAATCCAAGATGTTCTAAACCTCTGAGTGCACTTGCTGTCTGTTTGAATCTTCTGCCCTCCCAAGCATATCCAGGGCTCCTGACACTCTTTGATGCCCAGCTGGGGTTGGGGACTCTGACAACCATGTTCACAGCTTCTCCTGTCTTCCTGTCTTTACACATTGCCAAGGTCCCTGCAGTGCTTGTGACCAAACCTGCCAACATCATGTATCTCTGCTTTCCAGACAGTTGAGGCAAAAAGGAAATTATGTGGGTATATAGATCTAGTTTGGAAAATGATAGCATGTAGATTCTCTAGAAGTAAGCTCTGTTCCCCTCTAATATTAAATTCAAAGAGTAAATTCATCACATGGATTCATGTTTTTTAAGTTATTTATTTTTAGAGATGGGGTCTTGCTGTGTTGCCCAGGCTGATGTTGAACTCTGGCCTCCAGTGATCCTTCCCTCTCATCCTTCCAAGTACCTGGGATTATAGGCGTGAGCTACCCCACTTAGCTGGATTTGTTTTTTAAAGGACAATGGTAATATAATGCCTTCAAGACTGGTTTTCCAGAAGATGCAGAAACATATATAATGGGTTTTGTACATCAATCCTTGATAAAGGGTGGTAGTATAATAGTGCAGCTCAAGAAATCATACAGTTAACATACATGAGGCCACACATACCAGCTAACCCAATTCTAAATGGACTTAAAGGAATTTATTGGCTCAAGAAATTGAAAAGGTCAACATTCTAGGAAGCCTCAGAGTGCTTTGATCAGCTCCCCAGCTCTGTTTCTTTGAGATTATTTTTCCTTTGCCTTCTTTTGGTGGTTGGTTTCATCCTCAGTTTGGATTCTCTCAGAGCGGGAAGTGGCTGCAGCAGCTCCAGGCTTTTTATGGGCAAACCATGCCTTCCTAGAGGAAGAGAGAATTGCTTTTCCCTCAACCACTAAACAAAATCCTGGACATCCCTAGGATTAATTTAGCATGGGTTACACGCCCCTTCCCGAACCAATAATTAAACTGACCAGCACAGGACCATTGGGATCCACCCTGCAGATGGGACACCAAGATACCCGATCTCCATGATTGAAAGTGATGGGATGGGAGGGAGGCTTTGGGAAAATTGACAAGGTCCATTACAAAAGCAATATATTTTATTCTATGACATAAATAAGACATTCTATTCCAGATGTATTGCTTTCTAGTTTACTACTTTAATAGAGGATGAGGAGGGATATCTTTGAGTGGGGTCAAAATTATCTCCCTAAACAGTTGAACTAACAGTAGGCTTAAGCCTAACATTTTATGCCACTTAGCATGTCCAGTCAGTCAATTACAACAGAATGACTGATTGAACCAATTGTGTATAGAGCTTGCCTTCCTGACTCTTTCGGGCCTCACGATAGTTGCTATTATCTATTAATATTATGCTAGTTATTCTCCACAATTTATTCTATTGACCTCTGACAAGGTAGATACATCGACTGAGGAAGTACAGGCGTCTCACAGGAGTTAAGTAACTTGCCTACAGTGACACAGCTAGGGAAAGGCTGAGCAAGCCTGGACTGGGACCCAGGTGCTCCTGCTTCCAAGAAAAAGATGCCCATCCTCTTCCCTCTTTGTGCAGGTGCTGCCTCTTAGGGAGCTGTGAAACAGGATTCAGGAAGAATACTAATCCTGAGTACCACCTAATCTCTTATTTCCTTGTTTCTGAAGCAGAAATGAGAAAACCCACCAGTTTCTTAGAGATTCAACAAATGGCGAGTGATATTTAAACATCTACAATTAAGAAATATTTCTATAGCAATAATAAAAATATTAAAATGTTGAGCAGCACCAAACTTAACAGCCAAAGTCTCGGAGACCAGGGAGGGTATCTCTAGAGCTATAGAAGGCACTGTTGATGGGCTATCTCTCCACATCATCTTCAGAGGACAAAGATACAGAAGCATCACCCACTGATGAGGTATGAATACAACTTTATGTAACTTTTTTAAACTTAGGGAGTGGGCAACACTGACTAAAGAAATGGTCAAGAAATAATAGCAGCTAACAGGTTTATATAATTAGCAAAAGCAAGGGTGCTAGTTATACACTAACAAGTTTAATGTGAAACCCTAGGGTTTCACATTAAGAGAATCCCACTGAACTGCCCCCTTTCAGTAGAAAAATCTTGCCTGCTGAGTGGTCATAACTTCTCTTCCAGGGGAATCTGTCCTCACTCTTTACCCCTCATCTTTACATTTCCTAGATCATGGTCTAGAAAATGTGATGAGGCAATTTAACCTAATGGATTTGCAACTAATAATATTAATGGCTTTCAGTAGAGTGATTGGTGGGTGGGGGAAAGCCTAATTCTCATCATCTTTTGAATGTGATATCTGCTTTGAGATAACTTCAGAGTTTTAAAAAAAGCCTGCTTTATTTGTTTATTGAAGACTTTCCTTGTCAAAAGCTTCTCTACTCAATGAATATAATATTTTGGGGGAAGTGGGAGAGAAATGAGATGTTATTCTGGCCTTTCAGTTTTCCAGAATACCTGGCATAGTTAAGGAAGAATGAGAGGAAGGGCTTCAGAACATCCGGGCACCTTCCAGAGATGGGAACCAAACTGTAGGTGGGCTGAGTGACTACTAATTGCCACAAGGCTAGAGAGAAGAGGCACTTTCAGCCTTCTTCAATAAGTTATCTAATCTGTGAAATATTTTCCCAGCAACCACAAGACTGATAAAGTAAATTAGTTAATATGTTGTCATTAGGCTGAGACATGGGACAGCCAGGAAGGTGGGGATAGGGCAGAGTGCAGAGGTAACGCGCTTTCAATGAGCTGATCGAAAAGAGCCTGGATTTCAGAACGTTGAATCCTAGGAGCTGGATTGGCTGAGAGTGGAGGGGTCGTATCTGTGGACCTGGTGCAAATGTGAAGACACAGCATCAACATACTTAGATGACTTCATGTCATATGTCTGTTGTTTAATTTTTCTGAAGTAAAAGTGTTGCACTTAAACTTGAAGACAGTAGGGGCCAAATTGGCTGGAACTTGCAGGGCTTCAAAGGATAATGTTAAGAACTTGGCATTATTTGAAAATGCTTACAAAGGCCCTAGGGCTTTTTTAGGACATTAAAAAAACCCGTAAAACAAAAACAAAGGCCAACTTTAACATATATATGTTAAACATATATATTAAGCATATGTATATTAAACATATATAGTTATATAATATGTATGTATTATCTATGTTAAACATATATGTTAAGCATATACAATACATATATATGTATTATATAATACTTTAACATGTCAAGCATATATAATGTATAATATGTATTATACATTATATATGTTAAAAGTTGGCCTTTGTTTTTGTTTTATGGTTTTTTAATATATATGTTTATGGTGTGTATATATATGTTTATGTATATATATGTTTATGTATATATATGTTTATGTACATATAATGTATATATATGTTTATGTTTTTATATACATATATGTGAATTGTTAATTTGGCCTGAGATGCAGATATTGTTAAGCTTCAAAAGAACAACCAAACCCCAAGCTAAGTTCCTTAGGTCTTTCATTTTCCCTAGAAAAAAAAGGCACAGTCTTCAGTTTAGGACTGGGAATATTCACCTCACCCTTCGGATTAAGCTGGAGTCAGCCAGAAAGGAAAGGTGTGACTCAGTGATTTGGTGACTCAAAGAGAAGTTGTGCTTGCCATCTGGCGCTCCGAGGGGAGGTGAGGCCTCTGTCCACACCCTGCTCGTCACTGGCCACTCCTCAGCCACAGCCTCTTGTCCACTCAGACAGGCTCTCAGACTGTGCTTCATGTCCATGCCAAAGCATGGCTTGTGACATTTTATCTTCTGACATTTGATTTTGTCCCTTGTGAAGGGGATAGGTATGATTTTGAAGAATTAGTTTCACCATTCCCAGTTGCCTTTTTGGAGTGGAAAGAATTGAAAGTACAGACAGTCTGGTACTATTAACTTGAAGACACGACTTAGGCTCAGAAAGATTTGGCTTAATTCATGGCTTATTAGCTGTGTGACCTCAGGCAAACCACTTAACGTCTCTGTGTCACAGGTCCCTGTGTATAAAATTAGAGGTTTGCACCAGACGGATTCTAAGTTCCCCTCTGGCTCTAAAGATCCCGAGCCAAACCCAACAGGAGATATATTTTATTTTTATTTATTTATTTAGTTTGAGATGGAGTTTCGCTCTTGTTGCTCAGGCTGGAGTGCAATGGCATGATCTCGGCTCACTGCAACCTCTGCCTCCTGGGTTCAAGTGCTTCTCCTGCCTCAGTCTCCTGAGTAGCTGGGACTACAGACACGTACCACCTGGCTAATTTTTGTATTTTTGGTAGAGATGGGGTTTTGCCATGTTGTCCAGCTGGTCTCGAACTCCTGACCTCAGGGGATCTGCCTGCCGCGGCCTCCCAAAGTGCTGGGATTACAGGCATGAGCCACCATGCCTGGCCCCATAGGAGATACATTTTAGACCAACGGAGTCCTGCCCATTCCTGCCTTAATGGAAGACCCAGTTTTGCATCCTTAAGAGTAGCGAACAGTACCTGTGCAGGAGACAAAGGCTGGGGAAGGAAGGGATTCTAGTCTTCACTCTTGAAGAACATGAGGAACTTGTTAGAAAAGATGAGTTTTATACACCTTAATTTTTCTGGATTCCCAGGAACACTACATTTTTGACTGATCTTTGTACCTTCACTTTTTTTCACAGAATCAATAACCTTGTCCCTCTCCCTCTAGCAATCCCACATAGAAATCCACTCCTAAAAGCTCACACATGGAGTGATTTCTAATCTCATTTCCTATATACTAAGTCTCATTTTTCAAATACACCCTCCCAAATCCCTTTGGTTCCTCTCTGGCCCCTCGACCAACATTGTAATGGTTGGAAGTCACAGACAAGCCTATTTTCTCTCTTCCATTCCTATGATCAGCCTCCCAACTACTCACTCGGTGATTAAAAGCGAGTTAAAATTTGGATCTAAGAATCAGCTAACATTGCTTGAACATGTATGCACTTCTAATTACACACGTTTTGCTTTTTATTTGGCCTTGATTGACTGACACCTGAATCATTTCGCTTCCCAGGGATCTCTGTCTTCCCTGCCCAAGTAGGGAATGCAACCACATTTATATGAGCTTTAGATGCCTCTACATAAACTCGGGTTTCTATATGGGATGCAGTGTTTGGAGAAGTTAAAGGCCATCTCAGTTGTCGTCGTCGGGTTGTTGTTGTTTTTAATGTAAATCATCCATAGAACCTTGAGAGCAATTTCAGATACCGTACAGTTTCACCAAGTCCTTACCAGTATTTGTGTCTATGTGGGACACTGTGCTCCAGGAGCATTTGTTCTGAATGACTGGGATTTCTGAAAGCAGATGCCATTGTAAAAATGTGGCTCAGGATAGCTCTACTTATTTATCAATGCTTTCATGCAAAACAAATAAATCAGTTAAAGACAGCATGCTTTGGGCTTCTGATTAGATCACAGAAGTATAAATATCACAGGACTTTTATGTGTTTGCATGATGTGAACCAGCAAAGTTCTTTCCTCTGATCCTTCATTTTTAATGTAAGCCTGTTTAGAGAGGCATGCTATTTCTCGCCACTGTTCTTGCTCAATATACTGCTCTCTGGTTTGCATTATTTGAATAAGTAGGAGGTTTACAGATCAAATAAAAATAAAAATAAAAAACCCCATCAACCTTTGACAATTCTGCTCTTCATCGTTGACGGCAAGGAATGCCTGTTTTCAACCGGGCTTCAGGAATGGGTAGTGTGGAGGAATTTTTCGGACAGTATAAACTCAGCCCACCAGCTTCCCTTTCCAGGATTCAGACCACTTCACAGTCTAGCAAGCTCTTCTTTAATAATGGAAGTGTGAGACTCCCAGGTCGGATTTAAGCATTTAAAAAATATAATGGTTTGCATACTGTGCAGTGATTTGTAAAATGTGAATGCCTACAAAAGCCGTGGTTACCCAGCATAACATTATCTTATTTTTAGTTATACAACCAGTAAAACAGCTGGAGGTCTAAAATCATGGCCTAGCACTAAATGCATTACTACATTTTATCCATGCAGTAAGGGCCTGTCCTTTTTGCTAGACGATAGGAGAAAGTGGAGTGATTACTGGCAAATTAACACTTCCAATTTTAATAGGGAAGCAAGGCCTACATAAAAGCATCGGAATTAGAATCTATGCCAGTTAGCTATTGTACCACATATAATATGCGCCAAGATCACACTAATATACTACTGCATTTTATAATCAAATGAACCTTTATTCATTAGTCAAGAGATAATATCTACTCGAGTTGACTAAAGAAGTAACCAGCAAAATATTTTACTTTATAGCTTCTTAACATAGTTAATAGAATCATATTGGCAATAGTAGCAAAATATAATTGCCACTTAGCCGTGCTTGTTTTTGTTTTTTTTTCTGTAAAAACATAAAGTAGTGTGGTAACACCCCATCCCCTTTATCTGTAAAACCAATCTTTTCAGCTTGGTCAGTATTTTCATATAGCAGACCCAGAAAATATGAAAATATGCAATTGCTGATATTGACTTATATGACTACAAAGATGGCAATTTCCTATAATCCGATTTAGAGTGTTTGCCCACAAAACATACACACAAAAACACAAGCATGCACATGTTTGTAGTTGATACATTTATTTGTTATAAGAATTGTGAATTTTGAAAGTAAATATTCCTGATTTTTTTCCAGTACTATTTCCTGGGTGGTTGTGTCTGGGAGTTGCATTCTCCATCTTCTGCACCCTTAAGCCAGACGATCATACAATAAATACAAACAAAACATGTTTTTATTCGTTATAGAAAAATGAGAATGAAAGCATTTTTGCTACATTTACTGATCTGAATCAAAACATACTAAAACAATCTCTCGACAAGACCTATGGACTCTTCTCCATGCCTACAAACAGATTCTCCTGTCCAATACCTCTTAGAAGGAAATGATGAAGTTACTGGTACCTCTGCTTCTGTTCAGCCATTTGCTGAATGCCTTGGCCCTTGTCATCACACAGAGTGGCTTCACCTCTGGAATCTTAAATTCAATTATCCTGTTTGACCACAGCCTTTTATCATGGCAACTCAGCCACCTACCTTCTTGCGTGTCTCATCTTCTTTGAGACATTCAGTGCCTCGTCCACGCTGCTTACATTTTCCCCATCGTTTTTACTTCTGTAAATAATATCATTTAAAAATTTTAATTTCTACTTATTTGTTTCTGGTGCGTAGAAATGCAATTAGCTTTTTTAGTTGTTTTGTTTTAGTAACATTGCTGAGCACAAATGCCAAACATTTACTATAGGTTCTTTGGGGTTTAGAATGAAGAACACTAGTGATATTTTTTCTAATCATACTCCTTTTGAAGCTTTTCTTGTTTTGCTCTCCTATCATACTGGGTAGGCCTTCCAGTACATCGTGAATAAGATGGTCATGTGTGTCATTTTTTTCTAATTTTAAAGCCAGTGCAAGCTGGGCATGGTGGTGCACACGTAGAATCCCAGCACTTTGGGAGGCTGAGGCAGGAGGATCACTTGAGGCCAGGAGGTCAAGACCAATCTTGGCAACAGAGGGAGACCTTGTCTCTACGAAAAATAAAAAAATTAGCTGAGTGTGGTGGCATGTGCCTGTAGCCCTGGTTTCTTTGGAGGCTGAGGCACAAGGATGCCTTGAGCCTAGGAGTTAGAGGTTACAGTGAGCTATGATTGTACCACTGTTAAATATAGTATTTGCATTAGTTTGTTTAAATTCTCATTATGAGGTTAAGATGTTCCTGTCAATTTTTAGTTCGCAAAATGTGTTTTTTTAATGCTCTATGCCCCTTGCACGTATTAAGATAATCAAATGGTTTTCTCTTTTAACCAAAGTGGTGAATTAATCAATTTTCTAACAATAAACCAATCAATTTTCTAACAATAAACCAATTTGGTCTGTATGTATTAACTTTTAAAAACATATTTGTTTTCTTAATATCTTTTTTAGGTATTACATCTGTGTTAATATGTGAAATTTGCTTGTAATATCCCTTTTTTATACAGTTCCTATGTATAGGGTCCTGTATACAGTATCCAACATCATAAAATAAGTTGAAGAGTATTCCCACTTTTTTCTGGAAAATTGGATAACATTGGATTGATAAGTTCTTTAAAAGTTTGCTGAACTTGCCATAAAAGTCTGGGCCTGCTGCCTTTGTGAGAAATTTGGATTACATTAATAGTCATAGAACTAATTTGGCATTCTGGTTCTTTCTGAGTCAGTTTTGTAAGTTAAATTTCTTTCTGTGAATTTCTCCATTTTGTATAATTTTTGAAAATTTATTGGTTTCTTATTCATAATGTTTTATTATCTTTTTAGATCTTTATAGCATCTGTGGTTATGCCTTTGTATTCATCCCTAATAATGTTTCTTTATATCTTCTTTCTTTTCTCTTGATTAATCTTGCAAGAGGTTGTCAATTTAACTAGTTTTTCCTAAGAACTAAATTTTGGCTTTGTTGATATTTATTGTATGTTTGTTTTCTGTTTTACTAATTTGCTTTTCTTTATTTTTGCCCACTTTCTGCTTTCTTAAATTTAACTTTCCTGCCTTTTATCTAACTTCTGAAGCTGGATGTTTTGTGCATTTTCAACCGTTTCTTTTCTAATATAAGCACCTAAAACAAAAAACACTTCTGTTAGTAACATTTCAGTTCAATATGTGTATTTTCAGTATGTTTTCATTTTGACTCTCTTCTAATTTCTTTTCTTTTTTTACTCATAAGTTATTGGAAAGTACGACTTAAATTTCCAAATGATTTTTTAAAAATCTAGTTTTCTTTTTGTTATTGATTTTTAACCTAATTTTATTGTTGTGAAAGAATTTGCCCATATGATATGAATTCTTTGAAATATGTTGAGACTTGTTTCATAGTGTAGCATGTGGCCTATTCAAAAATATGCTGGGTATTTGAAAATGAATATATATTCTTCAATTGTTGGGTAATATATAAATCCAAACTTGTTAATTGGGCTGTTAAAATGTCCTGTCTTTTTATTTTTCATTGTTTTTCTTTGCTTGATTTAACTATAACTGATAAGTTTGCATTAAAATATTCTACAAAGATGGTTGATTTGTAAATTGTCCTTATAATTTAGTTAATACTTTTTCTACTCTAATGCTAACCATATTTTTAGGATTTATTATTAAGTATGTAAACGTTTAGAACTATTACAGCTTTTTTTGTAGATTGAAGGTTTTGTTAATATAGAGTGACCATGTTATCTTTAGGAATACTTTTTTCTTAAAGGTTTTTGTTGTTGTTCAGTGGTAGTATAGCCTAGCCACCGTATCTTTCTGTTGGCTAATGTTTTCCTGGTATATTTCCCAACCTTTTACTTTCAACCTTTCATGTCCTTGTGCTTTAAGCATGCCTTTTTTTTTTTTTTTTTTTTGAGATGGCGTTCTGCTCTGTCACCCAGGCTGGAGTACAATGGTGTGATCTGGGCTCCTCTGCCTCCCAGGTTCAAGCAATTCTTTTGCCTCAGCCTCCCAAGTAGCTGGGATTATAGGCTCCAGCCACCATTCCCAGCTAATTTTTGTATTTTTAGTAGAGGTGGGGTTTCACCATGTTGGTCAGGCTGATCTCGAACTCCTGACCTCAGGTGATCTGCCCGCCTCGGCCTTCCAAAGTGCTGGGATTACAGGCATGAGCCACTGCTCCCAGCCGAGTACATCTTTTTTTTTTTTTTAATTTAATTTCAATAGTTTTTGGGGAACAGGTGGTTTTTGGTTACATGGATAAATTCTTTAGTGGTGGTTTCTAAGATTTCGGTGCACCCGTCACTTGAGCAACGTACACTGTAGCCAATATGTAGTCTTTTATCTCTCATTCCCCCACTACCCTTCCCCCTGAATTCCCAAAGTCCATTACATCATTCTTATGCCTTTGAATCCTCATAGCTTAGCTCCTGCTTATAAGTGAGAACATACGATGTTTGGTTTTCCATTCTTGAGTTACTCCACTTAGAATAATGTTCACCTGTATCAAGGTTGCTGTGAATGCCATTATTTCATTTCACTTTATGGCCGAGAAGTATTCCATGGTGTATATATACTACATGTTCTTTATTTACTCGTTGCTTGATGGGCATTTAGGTTGGTTCCATATTTTTGCAGTTGTGAATTGTGCTGCTATAAACATGCGTGTGCATGTATCTTTTTCATATAATGACTTCTTTTCCTTTGGGTAGATGTCCAGTAGTGGGATTGCTAGATTGAATGCTAGCTCTACTTTTAGTTCCTTAAGGAATATTCATTCTGTTTCTATAGTGGTTGTACTAGCTTACATTACCACCAGCAGTGTACAACTATTCCCTTTTCACTACATCCACACCAACATCTATAATTTTTTGACTTTTAAATTATGGCCATTCTTGCATTGTGATTTTAATTTGCATTACTCTGTTGTTTAATTTGCATATTTTCATATGTTTGTTGGCTGTTCGTATATCTTCTTTTGAAAATTTTCTATTTATGTCCTTTGCCTACTTTTTGATGGGATTATTTGTTTTTATCTTGCTGATTTGTTTGAGTTCCTTGTAGATTCTGGATATTAGTCCTTTTTTTGATGTACATTTTGCAAGTATTTTCTCTCCCACTCCATGAGTTGTCTGTTTACACTGCTGATTATTTTTTTTTTGCTGTGCAGAAGCTTTTAGTTTAATCAGGTTCCATTTATTTATTTTTGTTGCATTTGCTTTTGGGTTCTGGGTCATGAATTCTTTGCATAAGTCAATGTCTAGAGGAGTTTTTCTGATGTTATCTTCTAATAGAATTTTTGTGGTTTCAGGTCTTAGATTTAAGTCTTTGATCCATCTTGAGTTGATTCTTATATAAGGTGAGAGATGAGTTAAGAATTTCTCTTATGAACAGCTAATAGCTATGCTTATATTTTTTACTTAGGCTATCAAACTTTGGATGCATTTGGATTTATTTCTGCTATGTTGTGTTCTCAAATACGCCATATGGCTCCACTTTTCTTTTTTCATGTCTTGACTTCTTTTTGGTTGATTTTTCTCACTCTATTATTTTTCACTGTATGAGTGTGAAAGTAATAAATTATACTTTTAGTCTTAGTTACCTGGGATGTTTAGCATGCCTACTTAATAAATAAATTAGTGTTTTTTGTTTGTTTGTTTTTATTTTTTGGGCCACATATATATATATATATTTTTTGTTATTATTATACTTTAAGTTTTATGGTACATGTGCACAATGTGCAGGTTAGTTACATATGTATACATGTGCCATGCTGGTGTGCTGCACCCATTAACTCATCATTTAGCATTAGGTATATCTCCTAAAGCTATCCCTCCCCCCTCCCCCCACCCCACAACAGTCCCCAGAGTGTGATGTTCCCCTTTCTGTGTCCATGTGTTCTCATTGTTCAATTCCCACCTGTGAGTGAGAATATGCGGTGTTTGGTTTTTTGTTCTTGCAATAGTTTACTGAGAAGGATGATTTCCAATTTCATCCATGTCCCTACAAAGGACATGAACTCATCATTTTTTATGGCTGCATAGTATTCCATGGTATGTATGTGCCACATTTTCTTAATCCAGTCTATCATTGTTGGACATTCAGGTTGGTTCCAAGTCTTTGCTATTGTGAATAGTGCTGCAATAAGCATATGTGTGCATGTGTCTTTATAGCAGCATGATTTATAATCCTTTGGGTATATACCCAGTAATGGGATGGCTGGGTCAAATGGTATTTGTAGTTCTAGATCCCTGAGGAATCGCCACACTGACTTCCACAATGGTTGAACTAGTTTACAGTCCCACCAACGGTGTAAAAGTGTTCCTATTTCTCCACATCCTCTCCAGCACCTGTTGTTTCCTGACTTTTTAATGATCGCCATTCTAACTGGTGTGAGATGGCATCTCATTATGGTTTTGATTTGCATTTCTCTGATGGCCAGTGATGGTGAGCATTTTTTCATGTGTTTTTGGCTGCATAAATGTCTTCTTTTGAGAAGTGTCTGTTCATGTCCTTCGCCCACTTTTTGATGGGGTTGCTTGTTTTTTTCTTGTAAATTTGTTTGAGTTCATTGTAGATTCTGGATATTAGCCCTTTGTCAGATGAGTAGGTTGTGAAAATTTTCTCCCATTTTGTAGGTTGCCTGTTCACTCTGATGGTAGTTTCTTTTGCTGTGCAGAAGCTCTTTAGTTTAATTAGATCCAATTTGTCAATTTCGGCTTTTGTTGCCATTGCTTTTGGTGTTTTAGACATGAAGTCCTTGCCCATGCCTATGTCCTGAATGGTAATGCCTAGGTTTTCTTCTAGGGTTTTTATGGTTTTAGGTCCAAGATTTAAGTCTTTAATCCATCTTGAATTAATTTTTGTATAAGGTGTAAGGAAGGGATCCAGTTTCAGCTTTCTACATATGGCTAGCCAGTTTTCCCAGCACCATTTATTAAATAGGGAATCCTTTCCCCATTGCTTGTTTTTGTCAGGTTTGTCAAAGATCAGACAGTTGTAGATATGTGGCGTTATTTCTGAGGGCTCTGTTCTGTTCCATTGATCTATATCTCTGTTTTGGTACCAGTACCATGCTGTTTTGGTTACTGTAGCCTTGTAGTATAGTGTGAAGTCAGGTAGCGTGATGCCTCCAGCTTTGTTCTTTTGGCTTAGGATTGACTTGGCAATGCGGGCTCTTTTTTGGTGCCATATGAACTTTAAAGTAGTTTTTTCCAATTCTGTGAAGAAAGTCATTGGTAGCTTGATGGGGATGGCATTGAGTCTATACATTACTTTGGGCAGTATGGCCATTTTCATGATATTGATTCTTCCTACCCATGAGCATGGAATGTTCTTCCATTTGTTTGTATCCTCTTTTATTTCATTGAGCAGTGGTTTGTAGTTCTCCTTGAAGAGGTCCTTCACATCCCTTGTAAGTTGGATTCCCAGGTATTTTATTCTCTTTGAAGCATCAATTAGTGTTTTTACCCTTCTCACAGATAGTGCAAACAATCTGCCTACCCTGTTTCTGCACAAGTGCTATTTTAATTCTTCCTATTTTTTTGATACTACAAATTAGATACTTCATTCTTTTTGTTTTATACTTTCAATGTTTGTTTTAGATTTCATTAAATGTTAACAATGTTTTTGCTTGACATTACTTATGTGTCTTATCTTTACTCTGCGATTTTCTTTTTTCCTACTGATATTCTTCTATAGGGTTTTGATTAATTGCCTTTAATAAGGACTTGATTGTAAAATTTCTTTTTTTTTTTGGTTTGTCTAAACAATGTTTCTATTTGGCTTTGCTCTAAATATAATCTATACAGGTTTACAATTTTAGTTTGGCAGTCATTTTTTTTTTCTTAGCACTTTGAAGACACTAGTCCACTGTCTTTTGGTTTCCACTGTATCTGGTCTGTGTAAGAATTGTTCTTTTTAATGTACATAGGTCTTTTCTTTCTCTGATTCCTTCTAAGATCTCTTTTCCATTGCTATTCTGTAGTTTTACTATAATGGTGTAGATGCAGATTTCTTTGTATTTATCCTGCTTAGAATTCATTTTAATTTCTGGCTCTGAGTCTTGTCCATCAAAGCTGAAAAATTTTCAGCCATTTTGTCTCCGACTATTATTTTCCCCAGCTCACCATTCTTTTATGATTTTGTAGAGCTTTTATTGTGTGTTAGGTGCTCTCGAGCACCTATTCCTTGTCTTTTCACTCTACAATCTAGTTGTCTTTCTGTGCTGCATCTCAGTATAATTTTAACTTTAAAATTATATATGAATCCTACTTTCAGATGTGTCTAATCTTCCATTTAATCCATTTCTTGTGTTTTAAAACTTCAATTACTATCATTTTTTATCTCTATTAGTTCTACTTAGTGTTTTTTCAAAACTGCTTGGATATTTTTATTGTCTTTTTTCCACTCTTACTCATAATTTCAATGCCCCTTTTTATTTCTTTAAACATATAATGAAACATTTGCAAGCCACAACACCTTTCTTTAACCATACAGATTTTCAAAATACACCTACTGAAGTCTATGCAGGTCTGATTCTACTGTCTGTTATTCCTGCTGACTCTTGCTCATGGTGCCTTGTTTTCTCATGTTCTTAAGGATATTCAAATGTGAGATCAAGTTTAATGGAAATTTATCTATGGAAATTCTTTGCAACCTGACTGAAGTAGCATTCTTCAAGAGAAATTTTCTTCTGTCAGGAATCTGGGGGTCATTACCAACCTGCGACCCTTTTATTTATTTTTAGAGATGCGACTCACTCTGTTGCCCAGATTGGAGTGCAGTGGTAGGATCATAGCTCACTACAGCCTCAAACTCCTGGACTCCAGTGATCCTCCTGCCTTGGTCTCCCTAGTAGCTGTGACTACAGGTGTGCACCACCACAGCTGGCTAATTAAAAAAAATGTAGAAACTGGGTCTTGCTATATTGCCCAGGCTGGTCTCAAACTCCTGGGCTCAATGATCCTTCCACCTTGGCCTTCCAAAATGGTGGGATTACAGGTGTGAGCTACTGCACCCTGCCCTGTGATTCTTTCAGAAGAAATTCTTGGCTCGAGTATTCTTTGAATTACCATTTTTAATGAAAGGGTCTCCTATCAGTAACCTCCTTAGTAAGGTCCTGTGTTTTATCTGTTTTTCATCACACTTCTTGTGACTGTCCAAATGAAAGCTCATGGTCATTAAAGAGCACAAGATGCTCTAAGGGCAGCAGTATCAATGAATATTCTAGGTGGCTATTAATTTCCTTCTGATATTTTCAGGGATATCCCCACTTCTGGTTTTACCCTATCTCAAACAAAGCCTCTTTATTCCTTCTCATCTTCTAGACCTTTTATCTTTGGAATGCCCTCACTATTGATCAAGTCCTCAAGATCATTGTGGAGGTATTCATTCAGCATGATGTTTTAAGCCCTGGAAAGGTATCCTTTGTTCCTCCTGACTGTAGTATGATCTTAGTTATTTTTCATTTCTTACATATTTTACATACAAACTTTTCCTTCCTTCCTTTTCTTTTCTTTCTTTCTTTCTCTTTCTTTCTTTCTTTCTTTCTTTCTTTCTTTCTTTCTTTCTTTCTTTCTCTCTCTCTGCCTCCTTCCCTCCCTCTCTCCCTCTCTCTTTCTTTCTTTCCCCCTCCCTCCTTTCCTTCCTTCCTTTCTTCCTTCCTTTCTTTCTGTTTCTGTCTCTCTCTTCCTTCCTTCCTTCCTTCCTCTCTCTCTTTATCTCTCTCTCTTTCTTTCCTTCTTCTTTCTCTCTTTCTTTCTCTCCTTCCTTTCTTTTTTTGACAGAGTCTTGCTCTATCACCCAGGCTGGAGTATAGTGGCATGATCATAGCTTAGAATTCTTAGAATTCTTTTTTATCTATGCTCATTCCCTTGATGACCTTGTCTAAATGCCTAAGTCCAAACCCATTAATGCACAGATTATTCTCCATCTACGTCTTCAACCCAGGCCTATGCTGAGCTCCTTACTTGACTTTTCCACTTGGATGTCGAACAGCTCACACAGTGTCTGGTCTTTGCCCATCACCTCAAATTGATTTCTTCTTCAATTTTCCTCCTTTTAGCTAATAGCAACTGCATCCTTCCAGTTCTTCTAATTCAGAGTCATCTTGGACTCCTTTTTTGCCCCACCCCACATTTAATCCATAAATATATCTCACTAGTTTTATCTTCATACTAAGTCCAGAATCTGACCATTTCTTTTCCCCTCCATGGCAACCAGTCTTGTCCATGCTAATATCAACTCTCACCTGATTTACCGCAACTGTCCTAAATGCTCCACCTGTCTCTGCCATTGGCCTCTTTAGTCTATTCCCACTCCAGTGGCTGTGGTGGTGCTATTAGGATGTCATTCAGATAATGTCATCCCTCTGCCTACAGCCCTCCAGAGTAAAAGCCAAAGTCTTTGTAATGGTCTTAAGGTCCTACAATCTGGTTTCCATCACTTTCGGACTTCACTTCCTTTTACTGTCTCCCCTGTATTCTTTGTGCTCCGCTGGTCTCCTTGCCCTTCCTTAAACACACAAGACATGCATCCCCTTCAAGGCCTTTGCACTTAATGTCCGCTCCACCAAGAGCACTTTCCCCAGATCTCTGCAGAGCTCATTTCCTCATCTCTTTCAGGTGTTTGCTCAAATGTCACCATCTTCGTAAGCTCTGATCAGACCACTGCATTTAAGATTATTACCTCTCCCTCCACATTCCCTATTCCCCTCCTTACTTTATCACTCTCCATAGCACTTATCTTCTAACATATTCAATTTGTTTAGTATTTGGTGCTCTTATTAGCTTCTTCAGGTAAGACAATTTTTTCTCTCTTGTTCACTGATGGATTCTCAGAACCTAATACAGTGCATGGCACATACCGAACATTCAATACATAGCTATTGAGTGGATGAATGAATAAGTGGAATAATTAGCCTGATGACAAAAATGGACAAATTGAGAACATGGAACAGAAAGTGATCATTAAAGGGCTCAAATATTGTTTTCTTTTCATGGAAGAAGGGGAAGAATGAAAAAGAAGAAAATCATGGGTGATTTTGAAAATTCCCTAAAAATGAAGCTGTTTTTATTTTTAAAACAGTTATTAGGTGCTCACTATTGATCAAGTCCTCAAGATCATTGTGGAGGTATCCATTCATCCTGATGCTTTAAGCCCTAGAAAGGTATCCTTTGTTCCTCCGGACTGTATCATGATCTTAGTTATTTTTCATTTCTTATACGTTTTACATACCAACTTTCTGTTTCTTTCTTTTTTCTTTTCTTCTTTTTTGAGACAGGGTCTTGCTCTAATCACCCAGGTTGGAGTGTAGTGGCATGATCATAGCTCATTGCAGCCTTGACTTCCTAAACTCAATTGATCCTCCAGTCTCAGCCTCCTAAAATGTTGAGATTACAGGCATGAGCCACCGTGCCTGGCTCAAATGTTCTATGTTTACTTTGTTTTCATTTGTGGTGCTCAGATCAAAATCATTTCGTGTTAACAAAGATCTGATCATTATAAGAAAAATGTAATTACTGTGAGATGTCTATATGCTTACTTCAATTTTACAGAGCCTCTTTCTTAAGCGACCCTGAGAGTGACTACCAGCAATGATCTACCCTGGCTCGTCAGGATATTCAGATTTTTTAAACATTCCTTGTCATGTGACAATTATGGATTATTTATATATTTTCCTGTTACCACAATGTAGCATAAATATCATTTTCACTGTCCACAAACTTGAGTGCACAAAAAACGTGACTTTAAAAACATAAGAAAAGTTACTCCATTTCATTTCTAACTTAAGCCCTTATTCCACTGGCGACAGGCACTAAAACTTAGTCAATGAGGGATAACTTCTCCCTGGGGCTGTATTTGAGACACAGGGGAGAGCTTCATGCTGTCAGTGAATTGGAGGGGAGGGGCATCTGGTCTTCTGTCTTCACTGTCTATTCATCCAGTGTTCCTTGAGCCATTTATGATCACACTATTGTCTCTGGTTGTGGTCCACATACTCCAAGTACAACTCATTTTGATCTTGAGGCCCCTCCTAGTTCCCTGTTTTTCTCAGCCCTTTTGCTCCCTCATGGGAAGCGGGAGGGTGTAAGACTGTGTGCTGCTTTCCCGCTCCTCTCCGGGGCAGAGACTCAGGGACCTGCCTCAGACCTCCTGCCACTTCACTTCTTTAGTCGCCACTTCAAGCTGGCTAAGGTGACTTCTCCTTAAAGTTTCTCAATGTCCCAGGCTTCCTTGAGGAATTCCAGTCTCCCCTGATCTCAGGTCCCTATCTGAAATTTCTACCAGTTCCCCTCCCTCCGGAGCCCATCTTGGCTGTGGACATAGGGCAGGGTCTGGTGAGCTCTCCTGTAGGCCCGCATCATCATCTGACTTGACTGTTTTCCTTTCCTAATTGTCTACCCTAGCCGATGGAGTTGCAATTTAGTTTTCAGCGATACTCTTTCCAATCTATTGTTTATGTCATAAACTTTGTGTGTTATCAATAGGCTCAGTCTATTGAAACTCAAAAGCCCAGTTCCTAAAATCACATCTTTGGTATGCATGCCTATCATTTGTGTAGGAGTCTCACCGGTCATTTTGAAACTCGAACCTGCATATGATCGGGTTCTTTCTCTTTGCATTTTGATAATCCTAATAATCCAGGAGGTAGTGGGTGTTCTGATTTGATGAATGTTCACGAATGTGGATAGAGAAGCTCAAAGGCTATTGGTGAAAAGGAAGTATGGGAAAGAAGTCCTTCCCAAATCACAGTGACTTAGAAATAATTATCCATAAGACTCCAAACATCTGTATTAAAAAAATTCTCACAAAAACATTTTGCATTTTCACCCTACTCTCTAAGGGGCAATTTGTTTCTTCAGCTGCTGCCTCTCTTTGCATGGTCTGAAAATAATATTGATTTATGATTATTATATGTTGTTTACTTTTTCCAGTTTGTGAAATAACCACAGAAAGATTTTTCCTTTTCATCTGTGATTTTTTTTAATATCCAAGGGGGTATGAATATCATCTCAATCTTTGTCAAGAAAAATGTAGAAGTATCATAAGCAGATAAAAACCATAATAAGTAATCAACTGTGTATTAAAAAAATTGACTAAGATTTAAAAAAAAAAACAACTTTGGGCCCCCCCAAAGCAGAAAAAAAGTGATACAGAAGTAAGCATATACTTCTATATACTTCTATTGCTATTTCTTTTGGAGCGGATGACTTGATTTTCTGCTTACTGGTCATGAAACTACTAAATATGTAACTTCCTAGGCTGAAAGAAAAGAAGACTAAGTGCCCTTTTTGTATTGTGCTCTGGATCTCCGATGACAGCCAAGAGAGTCACTGTGAAAGAGTCACGCTTAACTCCTTGTGGTTCCATTAAGCTCTCTATTGGCTCAGAACCTAGACTTGCCTGAGAACATATGAGTTCTGGGGAAAGCCATGGCTAATCAGCCCTCAATAATCCTCTGGAAGCTCAAAAACCCTCTTCACTCTGGGCTCCCTTTAGCACCCCGCTTTCCAGATTTGCTGCCCAGGAAGAATAGACAGAAACCATCATAGCATATGGGTTTTTGAGAGTAAAGGGCAGGGTGGAGGCGAGGTGGAGGCTGGGGATACAGAATAGAAAGCTGTTCATTCTATCTTTCATGTATGTTCTTGCTCCGGAGATTTTAACACTTGTTAAGTCAAACGCATTTCTCCTTCAATGGGATGGATTTGAATCCTTTCCCAACACTATCGTATGAGAAACAACCATCAACATAGAAACTATTCTCAAAAGTCAGTGATTTAGCAGTAAAAGGTGCCATATTTAACTTTATTTTATTTTATTTTTTATTTAAATAATGGTTAGATGCCATGAAGTAGGTGGCAATGCCTTAACTAAATGCTTGTTGTCAGGCCTGAGGGCCTCTTCCATCCTTGTCAAAGGGAATGCCAACCTTCTCTCCTTTCATACAATACCGAAGTCAATTTTAAATTTTTCTTTAGAGAAATCAGTCTTTGGGATTCTCCAATCACTACCGTTTGTTCATGCCCAAAGCCTACTCTTGTATTCTGATAGTATGAATAAGACCAGACATATTTTCCTCATTATAAAAAAAAAGTTGGGACAAGCATTGCTTTGGTTTAAATACTTTCAGAAACTGTGCAAATACTGGAGGAACAATTGATAGTAACAGTGAAAGCAAATAAAACTTGGTTTAAATATAGTTATCCCTTTCTTCCCCTCTTTCTTTCTCTAATAATAGAGCATTTATTAGATGAAACAAAGTAGGATCTGGTGTTTCCAGGGTGGGTAACATACACAAGTCGAATCTCCAGTTTCAATGTATAAATGTGTGGTCTCACTGTAATCTTTATGAAGGCCTCAGCAGCTCAAGATAAGAGTTTACGTTTCAGAATCCGTGAAAGCAAACTTAAAAATAAGAAAAAAAATGCCAAAGTAAATGCAAATGCAAGCTGCCTCTAGTTTCTCGTTTGGAAGTTACATATTTGGTATTATAAGAAGACCCTAAACAGACACCTGAAGGGGGCTTATCCTCCACGCACAGAGACATGTTTATGACCCCACCAGAGTTGCTCCATCCCAGATGTCTGCAGTGTGGTCTGGACATCTGTTTTTAATAGTTTCCAGGCGTGCCAGTGAGAACATTATCACGAATGGGTTGAATATGATTTGCACAAGGAGTGGAGGTTGTGGGGGGAAACAGACAGCTAATAGAGGTTCAATAGTTTGGATAGTTCTTAATTTTCATGAACAACTCCGGGAGTGTGATGCTGAGCTCAATATAATTCAAATGCATGGTGCTTTGTTAAAAGGGGTACCTTGTAAAAACTTTCCATTCTATATTTGTTACACAGAGAACACCTATTTTAAAATCCTTTTGTTTCTTGACAAAGCAAGATTACCAGCTGTGGGGTAGATAGATAGAAAAGGGCGTTATCCCTCTCATGTCATTTACCCATGTGCTTGTCAGCTGACCCTCTTAATACCACGGCCAGCACCCTAAAACAGCCCCTTCTTCGGGTAAACAGGTGAACAGATCCAGAGGGGTATATAGGAGGGAAATGGCATTGAGAAGGGCTCTGCTGACTGTGCAGGCTGACTATGCTTAGCTCTGTTCCAGGCATGGCCAGGGCACGCGGCCTTTCAGGACACCCCACGGACTCTGCTATTGGTTATTTTCTTAGTGGGCAAGAAAGCACCAGGGCCAGTAGAACCAGAGCCTACTGAATGCCAAGCCAGATTTTTTTGTTTGTTTGTTTTTGAACTCAAACTTAATTCTAGGTTAGAAGCAAATGCAGGAGGAAAGAGAAGCAAATCCATTAGAAAGGGGAGAGAGTCAAGAATTATTTTGGAATAGCACTGTGTATTATCCATTCACCTGTATTCTTCCTATCATTCGTATCATCTGTGTTTATGGTAAAGATTTTCTAAGTTGTCATTTTATCAAGCATCCTAAAGAGTAGGGTTCCCCAACCCCTGGGCCAGAGACCAGTACCAGTCCATGGCCTGTTAGGAACCGGGCCACACAGCAGGAGGCGGGCAAGTGAGTGGAGCTTCATCTGTGCTTACAGCCACTTCCCATTGCTCGCATTACCGCCTGAGCTCTGCCTCCTGTCAGATCAGGAGCAACATTAGATTCTCATAGGATCATGAACCCTATTGTGAACTGCGCATGTGAGGGATCTAGGGTGCGTGCTCCTTATAAGAATCTAACGCTCGATGATGTGTCACTGTCTCCCGTCACCCCCAGATGGAACCATCTAGTTGTAGGAAAACAAGCGCAGGGCTCCCACTGATTCTACATTATGATGAGTTGTATAATTATAAAATTATTTCATTATATATTACACTGTAAATAAAGTATACAATAAATGTATAAATAAAGTGCACAATAAATACAGTGCACACTAAATGTAATGCACTTGAACCATCCCAAAACCATTCCCCGACAACCCCATTTGTGGAAAAATTGTCTTCCATGAGACCAGTCCCTGGTGCCAAAAAGGTTGGGGATCACTGCTCAACAGGACAAGAGAAAAATAAAAATGTGGCATCTATAGTTTTATCTCTATTGATTCCTTAAAACTGTATCAACAAATGTATTATTTTTCAATTAGTTATTCATTCACATGGTATCAGATTCAAAAGTATAAAAACACGTACATAGAAAAGTATTTTTTCTTGCCCCATCTGTTAGGCAACTCATTCTTTCTTGGGGTCACTAGTGACTTTATCCCTTCAGAAATATTCTCTATAACTCACATTTTAGACCTGAATATTTTTCCTGGCAAAATGAAGAAATACCAAGAAAATTTTTGAGTTCTAATCTATTATTGCAACATTCACTAACGTTGTGTAAGCATGTTTCAAAAACCAAGTTACATGCTCAATAAGCTTACTAGGGACCACAAAAGAAGTCCATGGTATAGTTTCTGGCCTCAAGGAATTTAAGATTCTGACAACCAGAGAGATCATATGCATAATGTAAATATATTTTATTGAACTGAGCACAGTGCATTGTAATTTCCTTCTCTTTGATTGGGATTGCCTTGACAATAGACTCTTTCACATTTATCTTTCTATACATGGGTCCTTGCATGGTGCCTGGCCCAAAATAGGCCCAAAATAGTCAATAAACGATTGTTGAATGAAGGCACGGATGAATGAAAGAATGAATGGAGAGTGGATCAAGAAGTCAGGACAATGCTTGAGAGAGAGAAAGTCCTACTAATGGCCTGCAATGGCTGGCGATAGTGAAACAGACAGTATCCCAACATTGGAGTTCTGAGAGTCTCCCTCAGGACAAAGAGAGGGGTGAGGTTCCATGGAAAAGATGGAGAGAGGAAAGAGGAGAAGGAGGGAGTGCGAAAACCATTCTAGGTAAGGTGAGCTGGGTGAACAGGAAAAGCAAAGTTATGGCAGCAGAAATGCAGTTTGTTAACCAAGACCAGAGAGGACATTGACTTGATGCCAGCATCATTTTTCTTTTGAGATTTGTTGAAAATTTGGAGAGGCATGATGAAACTGAATTGTGATGAGCCCTGAATGTCAGCAGAAGGATTTGAACTTTATCCCAAAGGCATTAGAAAGTGATTCGAAGCTTTTGAGCTGGTGAATGCTTAGTAAGAGTAATCTGATAAACCAGAAGCTAGGAGACTGGCTTGGCAGGTATTGTGATATTTGAGGCATTGGATGATAAATTTTAGGAAAGGGTGCAGTTTTGGGAATGGGAAAGATAAATTGATCTTAAAATATTTCTGGGGGATGTACCAAGGGCATTTGATAGTTGATGGGACAATAGAGGAGAAAAAAAGGGACAGTTTTTGTTTAACCTCAGTTATCTAGAATGCCACTAATCCAATGCACTCACATTTACTGAACACCCACTGTGTTCAAGGCCCTACACATTTCATAGAGCAGATCCCTCAGATATACAACTGGACCTCATCAAGAACTGAATCAATACAAACGTCCTCATTGGGATATTAGCTAACTATAAGGTTTTCTGGATATTGATCACATTTATTGACATGTTCTACTTATTTAACTTTTTCAAATGGGGAAAGAAGAGCTGTAAAATGCTCTTGAAATCAGGTTTGATGGCAATTAGAATCATCCATCTGCAAGGAGGGCCCATTTTGTTGTGCCATCTTTCTCTCCTCCCTCTTTGGTTCTGACATGTTCACAGTCATCCCAACTCCATGATTTTTTCAGTCCCTGGATGGGGCTCTTTGGACTTGTTTGCTCATAAATCCTGTGCTGTTTTAGAACTTGTGGTTTGTGAAAGATTGATAACCGGTGTCAGGTCCCCTCCCTCCCCAGCCCACCCTCTGTGGTTGTTCCACAGTGGTATATAATAGTGACACTTCAGAAGCCACAGAAAGAACTGGGAGGATTTACTTGTTAACAAAGAAATTATTGCCGCCGAGTGCAAATGCCATTCCAAGCCTGGGGAACACGCCGCTTGGCATTTGCTCAGGGTTCTTCATAATCTGCTTCAGTCAGTTTTGGTTTTATGAATTTTTTGCTTTTTGGGGTCTAAAAACCAGTTTGGGATGCGTTCCTCTTTCCAAGCCTCCCTTATTCCATCTTAAAGCACACACATGCACACACACACACACACACACACACACCCCATTACTATGTGCCTTTAGCACTTGGTTGTCCATAACAAAAAGTGGAAATTGCCCCAGAAAGTGACATGACTTAAAAAATGGTAAAAAAAATTTGGGTAAGACTGAACAAAAGCAAGAAAGAAGAAAGGGAGAAGAAACACTCCCCCTTAATCAAATCCTTCATTTCCCCTAGAGCAAGCAGTTCTTAATTATATTGAATGAACAGACACAACAGTGTGCCACAAGCTGCTCCAAACAGCTGTGGGAAGGCTCCATTTTCAGGCAAATGTGGCCAGGGAGGAAGACTCCACCGGCCAGTCTGCACATTTAGATCAGGATTATTTCTGAGGTCTGTTCCTGGGCCTGTTTGGGAGGAAAACCAAGGCTCATTTCCCTCCAGCTGTATTTTTCTGTTGATGTTCTTTTGCAATTAGAGATTTCAACCAGGCTTTCAGTGGGTTCTTCCAGATCTGTCATCTACTCTACTTTACTAATAGTCGACTGTGGATGGATTGGCATTTCCGTGAGTTCACTCTTTGGTCCAGAAACTTGCTGAACTTGTCTCTGGCTGCAGAACAAGAGTTTTCTTCTCTTAACCTGTTGCTTAACTACAGGTTTGCGAACAGAAAAGAGAACAAGCCCACTCCATCGTCTTTCCCTGGTCACCCACTCCCAATTCCAGTTCCCACTCTAATTGTAGCTGCTTATTTTCTTAGCTTTACATGTCTGGTTTTTATGTTAAAAAAGTACGAATGCATGCAAAAGAGGACAACCATTTAAAAATAAATGTTACTGCCTGTTTACAAGATACTTGTCATCAAGAAGACTGTACTTGTTCTTCTTTTCCTATTGTATTTCTTTATCTCTATTTATCATATGTAACCACAGCCAAATTGTAGTATGGAAAGAAACACATTCTGTAATTTGGGTTTATTAAATTTCCTATCATCTTCCTTTTATGTTTCTTTCAACAGACATTTTATCATCCCAGGGGATCTGAAACGTTTTCCCATGTAAATAGGCATCTAAACCACCAAGTTTTCCATTCTTGTTTCTTCTCATGTAGGTTTATTGATTGCTTTCCCTTTTCACTTTATAAAATCATAAATAAAATAAACTACTAGTTAAACTTTAAGTCACTGAATCAATTGTATTCTATTCATTAGCTGATAAACTTCTAATATATTTACAGCATTAGAACTTTCTTTTTGGTCTCATAACGCTTTTCACATCAGGCCATATGCGTTGTTAATGATAGAGTTTTTGTTTGGGTTTGTTTCTGATAGAATTTTCACTAGTAAATCCTTATCTAGTAATTGTCTTTAAAATACTGTTTAGTACACTGAATTTCTCTTGTTATTTCTATTGGCTTAACAAGTAGTCAAAGATGTTTTCATTTGTTGCCATATTAAAGACCCATTACAAATTAATAATGAGAGTAGCAACAAATTTTCCCCTAATATTTTCTCAATCTTCCACTGATTTAACACTATTCTGCACATATACCAATTCCATTAAAAAGCTCTTCCACTCCAAAGTAAACAATATTCTATTAATAGCAAGGATGTTAGGGCTGTGGCTTTTGGCCTTAGGCTTCCATTATATTATTCAAGCTCTCTGTGCCTCATTCTGTATTAGTGAGGGGACATTGGGCAAGATACTGTAACCCTTTCTTTGCTGCCTTTGACAATGGGGAAGAGGGTTATTCATAGAGATGCAAGATGAAGATGATGTAAGATGAAAACACGAAGTGATGGAAAAAGTACTAAACCCTTGAACTGAATTACACAATTACAAATATTCCAGCTCCACCAGAGGTACTGAATCTGTTTCTCAAACGCTTCATTTGGATTTAACGATCTTCTCAATCGCTTTAACTCATCGCTTTTGCCTAGAGATTCCCAACCGCCTGCACATTAGAATCACCTGTGGTGCTTTTTTTAAATCCCTGATGCATTAGTCATTTGTAAAGTTCCTCATGTGATTCCACTGTGCAGCCAGGGTTAAGAACCAGTGCCATGCCCAGTCATGTGCAGATTAAAATTCTTTTTCTTAACTCCCTTTCTTCCTTTTGAGGAACATCATGATTTTTGGAGAAATGCTTTGAGTTCAGCAATCAATTCACAAAAGGATGCTTCTGGTCATGCCATAAGGTCAGTGGTTCTCCTATCCCAAGGGCACTCATACCCTGAGAAGGTAAAACCCCATCTGGGGAAAAGACAGTCGGAAAACTAACTTATATCCAGTGAAAGGATGTAAGTGGCCCTCCTTGTGCAGTCAGCTAAGTAGCTGCCTGGATCTTTCTCTTCTTTTTGCAGCTGTGTGGCTAACAGCTGGCAGAATGGGGTCTGTGTGTACCAGCTGCTGTCCCACCCTTCCAGGCCTGTGGGATAGGGCCCCCGGCTGCCCTTCAGCAGCAAGTCCAACTGCCCTCAGTGAGGAATTAATGGAGAGTCCTCAGGTCCTGGAACTCAAGCCCATCTGTCTTGTGTTCTGGGGTTCCATGGGCCCCTCTGGTTTGTGGAAATACCTGGTCCAGGCCACCCCTGGTGAGAAGCAGGAAAGCTGAGGGAAGGCAGATTGTCTGGTACATCTCCTACTTTTTGGAACAAGATATTCAAGTGTGAGAAGAAGTTTATTAGGGAATCTCTCATGCAGTTCAGCAAAGTGAAACGCTGTATAGAAGATCAGCTTTGTACTAGTCCCCTCCCCTTTTTTTTGGTTCTTTTACAATGCCTTTTTCTCCTTTTTCTCTCTCTTCTTCAAGTTTATTTCTTCTTTTCTGGTGGAAAATACTACTGTTCTACAAAAAAAAAAAAACAAAAGGAAGAAAAGAAAGAAAAAAAAAATCAATGAAAGACCCAATACTAAAAATCATCACTGTTAATAGTTTTTCTTCCAGTCTTTTAATATGAATATTGTTTGTTTTTATCATACTGAACATCCAACTTTTTCCTATATTTTCTTGTAATACCACGAAATAAACATTCCCCCATATATTGATAACTTTTCAGAAACATTTTCTTCAATAAATAATATCCCACGAAATGAATGTAGCACACTTACTGTTTCCCTTTTGGAGTTAGCATGTTTCCAGATTTTTATGTTTATAAATAATACAGTAAACAAAACATTTAAAAATATAGGTAATAAAAAGTGTAAATGGAATAATAGCCTTAATATACAGACAGCTTACATAATCAATACGTGAAACACCAATTTTGAGAAAAGGACATGAATGAGCAATTATACAAAAAATACATATTGAGTGGCCACTAGATATATGATACATGTTTATATCTATTAATGAACAAAAAGTGACAAATAAGATGGCAACAAGAGACTTTTTTTAAACTATTAAATTAGCAAATGTTTTCAATAATGATATTGGTAGGGTAGAGGTTGTCAGATACCCTTAACAAGAAAATAAATTGATAAAACATTTTCTGAACAACACTTTGAAAATGTATCACCTTTCGGCGGGAACCGCCATCTTCCAGTAATTTGCCAAGATGACGAACACAAAGGGAAAGAGAAGAGGCACCCAATGTATGTTCTCTAGGCCTTTTAGAAAACATGGAGTTGTTCCTTTGGCCACATACATGCGAATCTATAAGAAAGGTGACATTGTAGGCATCAAGGGAATGGGTATTGTTCAAAAAAGAATGCCCCAAGTGTTACCATGGCTAAATGGGAAGAGTCTGCAGTGTTCCCCAGCATGCCGTTGGCATTGTTGTAAACAAACAAGTTAAGGGCAAGATTCTTGCCAAGAGAATTAATGTGTGTATTGAGCACATTAAACACTCTAAGAGCCGAGCTAGCTTCCTGAAACGCGTGAAGGAAAATGATCAGAAAAAGAAAGAAGCCAAAGAGAAAGGTGCCTGGGTTCAACTGAAGCACCAGTCTGCTCCACCCAGAGAAGCACACTTTATGAGAGCCCGTGGGAAGGAGCCTGAGCTGCTGGAACCTCTTCCCTACGAATTCATGGCATCATAGGTGTTAAAAAAATAAAAGACCTCTGGACTGTAAAAAAAAAAAAAAAAAGAAAAAGAAAAATAGAAAATATGTCAAGTATGCTCTTGCACACACGTTTATAGCAGCACAATTCACAACTGCAAAAATATGGAACCAGTCCAAATGCCCATCAGTCAATGAGTGGATAAAGAAAATGTGGTATACATGTACCTTGGAATACTACTCAGCCATAAAAAGGAACAAAAAAATGGCATTTGCAGCAACCTGGATGGAAGTAGAGACCATTATTCTAAGTGAAGTAACTCAGGAATGGAAAATCAAACATCGTATGTGGGAGCTGAGCTATGAGGATGCAAAGGCATAAGACTGATAAAATAGACTTTGGGGATTCCGGGGGAAGGGTGGGAGGGCAGTGAGGGATAAAAGACTACACACTGGGTACAGTGTACACAGCTTGGGTAATGGTGCACCAATATCTCAGAAATCACCGCTGAAGAACTTATTCATGTAACCAAACACTGCCTGTTCCCCATAACCTATTGAAATAAATAAAACAAAAACAAAAACAAAAAAAAAGATAAAAAAGAATAAAAGCAAAGTAATGTCAAAAAATATGTCAAGTATCCTTAAAAATTGTATAGTTTTTAAGAAAGGCATTTGTCCTCAAAAGCAAAGTTCTGTTTTCAGAAATCAAAAGTTCAGACAAAGATTTATGTAAAAGCTGTTTAATGCATTGAATATAGTAATTAAAAGTAGAGGCAAATCAACTGGCCATATACCTCTATTACATGTATATCAGGTGGAACACAAGTAATTGTAGAAGAGAACGGAAAATTCTCGAAATATTTTGTTGAATAAATGCAGCATGAGATGGAATTGTGTAATAGGATTTTACAAATGCTTATCAAAATAACTGAAAGGAACTAACTACTAGTTATCTCTGGTTATTACAAATGAATTTAAATTTTGTTGTTATGTTTACCTGTCTTTTGTAAGTTCTCTACAATGAAAATATTATACAATGAGAGAGGGAATATAAGTGAGTAATTGAGAATTAGCTCCTGATGCCAGTTCTGGCCCTATCACTTACTATTTAACCTGGGGCAAGTTATTGAGCCTCTCTGTGCCTTGGTTTCCTCATCTGTAAAACTGGATAACAATAGTACATCCACTCAATAGGGGTTTTATGACAGTAAACGATTCAATCACATAAACTTTTAGGACAGTTTCAGGGACAGTGTAAGTGTCAAAAGTGTTAACTATTCTTAATTTTTTAGTAATCACACAAAAAAATTTAAATTATGCAATCTGTCTCTTCCTCAAAGAACACTTTAGTAAACATGTATGCATAGAAGTCCACCTTCCCAATTTTAAGTTTTTTCCTTGGGATAAATTCTCAGAAATAAAATTCCTAGATCCTTGATAATTTTTGCTGAAGTTCTTTCCAAAGCTGCTATAAGACATTTTCATGCCAAAAATATGTGACATCACCTGTTTTAGAAAACCCTTACTAAGTTATTATTTAAAAAATAGGTATGTGATGAGGGAAAATGGCTAATATTTTTAATTTAAATTTCTTTGATAATTTTTGAGATTAATAATTGTTATGCTTACTGTTGCTAAACTTTGTTTTTTGTAAAATCATTCCTATCCTTAACTTAATTATTGGTATCGTAGTGTTTTTCTTATTGACATGTATAAACTCCTCATATGGTAGAAATATTAAGCAACTTTCTGACACAGCAGCTGTGAAGATTTTTCTCATTTGTGGAATTATTACTGTTTTTTGGTTTGATATAAAGTAATTTAAATATCTTATTGTCAAATCTATCCCACTTTTGCTTGGCAAATGTTGGGATTGATTTTAAAATTTAACAACTTCAGATGAGAAGATTTTTGACATAATTCTATATTATTGTATTAGCTCTTAAAAGCTTTTCGGCGATCGCTATCGGGAATGACATTTTTTAATTTTGGAAGAGAACTTTTGCTCACTAAGGTGACTGACCAGGAAGCATGAGTGAGCTTGGTTCATTAATCAGTCTGAAAGATTTCTAAAAATTCTGCGTCATCAGGCAGAATCTTCAAGGTGGTAGCTTACACCCTCATCCCCTTCAAAGTACAAAAACATAGGTTCCTCTCACTAATCACTAGGTTCATGTTGTCCCCAGGGTAGGCAAACTATGACTGAGGCCACATTGACCTCTACCTTGTCAGATTAGGCTAGAAACCACATGGCATACCTCCTTTACAGTGGTTTGATCAAATGGTCAAGTCCCACAGCACAAAACTGTGGCATGTGATGTTTACATGATCCTAGGAAGAAAATGGATGAGCCGATGTTGACAAGAGCTTAAGTAAGTCTCCATGTACATCAAGTACTT